>NC_000008.11:15617678-15920708 GCF_000001405.40 Homo sapiens
CTTTTTCTCTTTGGCTTTAAGAATATCCAGTCAAATACTGTTTTCCAAAGTTATGTTTACGTTAGTAATGCAGTCAAGTTCAGTTGTTAAAGTTTGGTTTTTATTTTGAAACCATCCTCCCAACCCTGGCTGATCATTTAAAAATATGTAAGGCAGAAACCATTTTTGTGTTGTCTACTGTTGTGTTATTTAAAGACAAAAGTATGCTCACCGAAACCTAGATGGTATAGTCTACTACACACCCAGGCTGTGTGGTATAGCTCCTAGGGTACAAAGCTGTACACAATAGTACTCTACTAAATATTGTAGGCAGTCGTAACACAATAAGAAGTATTTATGTATCTAACCACGTCTAAATTTAGAAATGGTACAGCAAAGATATGGTATAAAAGGTAAAAAAAATGGTCCACCTGTCTAGGACACTCTCCATGAATGGAGCTTTCAGGCCTGGAGGTTGCTCTGGGTGAATAAGTCAGTAGCGGTGAGTGAGTGTGAAGGCCTGGGACGTTACTGTACACTACTGTAGACTCTATAAACACTGCACGCTTAGGCTTTATCGAAAGATTTTTCTTTGATAATAAATTAACTTTACCCTACTAGAACTTTTTTTAAAAGTTTTTAATTTTTTTTAACTTTTTGACTCTTGTAATAACAGTTAGCTTAAAATACAAACACATTTTACAGCTGTACAAAAATATTTTCTTTATATCCTTATTCTGTAAGCTTTTTTCTGATTTTTTAAGAAGTTTTTATACTTTATTGTTGAAAACTAAGACACACATACATTAGCCTAGGCCTGCACATGGTCAGGATTATCAATATCACTATCTTCCACCTCCACATCTTGTCCCACTGGGGGGTCTTCAGGTGCAATAACAGTTATGGAACTGTCATCTCCTAGGATAACATTCTCTTCTGGACACCTCGTAAAGGACCTGCCTGAGGCTGTTGTACAGTTAACTTTAGAAAACAAATAAGCAGAAGGAGTACAGTCTAAAGATAAAAAGTATAGTAAATACATAAAACCAGTAACAAAGTTGTTTATCGTTATCAAGTATTATATACTATACGTAATTGCATGTGCTGTGTTTTCATATGTCTGGCAGCCAGTAGCTTTGTTTACACCAGCATCACCACAAGCACAGGAGTAAAACGGTGTGCTGCAGTGTTACCACGGCTGCCCTTCAGTATTAGGCGGTAAGAATTTTTCAGCCCCATTATAATCTTATGGGACCGTCTTTGTGTATGGAGTCTGTTGTTAAGTGATTAACATCACTGCGACACATGACTGTATTTCTGTGGGTTTTGGCAAATGCAGTCATGGCTCTACCACTAGTCACAAGTCGGAACACTTCCATTACCTTATATGCTGTGTTTTGGAAGAAATTATTAAAAGTAGTTTGATACTTAAAATTCAAAGAAAAATCGTTTTGTGGATTTTACTGGTATTTTAGCCTAGTTTAAGTGAGAAATGTGTTTCTCCCTTAAGGCAGTTGGGATACTAAGAATAGGCGAGATTTCAGTTCTTATTTTCACTATGATTTGATATTTATTGTTATTCCAGAACATGGATTTGTGTTTCCAGCTTTTAAATAATTGATATTTTTCATATAATAGATTGAGACTTTTAAAAGAAAAATAATTCACAAAATGTAATCAAATATAATACATGCTTTTAAAGTGCTACTTTTCTCATTTATAATTGCTCTCTGCTCTTCCTCGTTTACCCTATAAGCAGAAAGAAAACAATTTAGAAGTGACAAAATTTTATCCTAGTTTTAACATTGATTAGTCTGGAAAGAGTTTTATTCCATATATTTTTTTTTTTTTCCAGTCGAAGTCTGTCTCTGTCGCCCAGGCTGGAGTGCAGTGGCACGATCTCGGCTTACTGCAAGCTCCACTTCCTGGGTTCACGCCATTCTCCTGCCTCAGCCTCTGGAGTAGCTGGGATTACAGGTGCCCGCCACCACGCCTGGCTAATTTTTTGTATTTTTTTGTTTGTTTGTTTGTTTTAGTAGAGATGGGGTTCCACTGTGTTAGCCAGGATGGTCTCCATCTCCTGACCTTGTGAGCTGCCTGCCTCGGCCTCCCAAAGTGCTGGGATTACAGGCGTGAGCCACCGTGCCCGGCCTATTCCATATACTTTTTAATCTCTTGTATAGGACAGATTATATTTATGAATAGATCAAGGATAATGGACATGAGTTTTAATTAGTAAGAAAGAGAGAGCATTCAGAATTGTGAAAAAATGACTCAATTTTGCCAGAAATAACAGTGCAAGGCTGAGGCATGAGAATCCCTTGAACCCTGGAGGTGGAGGTTGCGATTTGCTGAGATTGCACCATTGCACTCCAGCCTGGGTAACAGAGGGAGACTGTGTCAGAAACAAACAAACAAACTGCAAATTAAAATAAGATACCATTGTCGATTAACTTGGAAGTGTGTGTGCATATGTGTACACCATAAAGAGATAGAAGATGAATAAGAATGAATACTCTAATCTGTTGAGGGTATAGTGAATCTCACACTCTAATATATTAATACATTGCAGATAGCGTTAGACTTTCACACTGATATAGTGTTTGTAAGGAAGTGTAGTCATGGTAATGAAAAATACCAGTTTGTCAAGATTGATGCAAAATGATGGGACTAACAGGCATTTTGTTTAAAAGATTTTTTCCAGAATATTTGTAATGGGAAAATTACATATAGTTAGAATTCTACATTTTTCAAGATGTGATTGTGTAGAAATTATATTTTACATTGATTTTTTTTAGTATTAAACATGACTGTGTACCCTGAAATCTGTAGCACAGTGGTTCTCAATATTTAGAAAAATGACGTATATATATTTGCCTAATTCTGAAGGAATATAGTAATTGTATGATAACTAGAAGTGTACTACAAAAAGGAATTCAGTTAAACCAAGTTAAGAGTATGCATTCTTGTGTTTTGCTTGGTTTTTGAAGGCACTTGTAACTTACCTAGTCCTTTGTTACTTAAATAAGAACTATTCCTCTGTGAGGAATTTTCGTTTGTGATCAGGCTATTAAATGAGTTTCGTATTACCTTGAAGATGGGAAGCATGGGAAATAGGAGTACCAGACTCAGGAGTCTCATTCCTTTCAGCATCCGTGAAACTGGGGCTGGCTTCTTTGATTATTTAAAAGTAAAGTGAAATCTTTGACCTTTTACAGTTACTTACTGTTTTCATAGATACATATTTGGTATAAATGGGATTTTTAAATGAGAAAAACAGTAAGATTATTGTAGAAATTCAAAGAGTATTAAAAGATTGTGTGTGGTGTGTGTCTGTGTGTGAGTGTGTGTTGTGCATGTGTGTAATGAGAAAAGCATAAAATACTGAGGTAACTCATACGTAAGTAACTTTCTTAGACCAGTTCTCTTCTGCCCTCATTAGTGGATTACCCTGCTTGATTTCCACTCTTTCCATAGAGGGTCACAGTCTCTAAATACTTAAAAAATAAATATTTATATAGTTTTTATCTTATTATTTTAAAATGTTTTCAAGGCTCAAAAGAATTTATATAGTAAGTTGGTTCATTGTGTGTATTGGTAAATACTGGAGACTTTAAAACTTATTAAATATATAACAGTTTTCTGTAAGGCAAAAACTATTAAATGGTGCTTAACATGGAAAATAACCTCACTTCGCTTCTCAAAATTGAAACTAAGAACAATTAGGAGAAGTCCTTCTATGTCACTTTCTACTGTTCTGGGTATATTGATGAGGCAGAGAGATAAGTTATCATTTTCAGTTTAATAAGGTTATTTTACTTTGGAAATATATATCTATAAAATACACATAAATATATGTAAAATATATATATATATATAAAGTATATTTCCAAAGTTATATATATATATTTAACTCAGACTGCAAATATATATATGGATTTATATATATAAATTATACATAAATATTATATATAGATAAATCTATATAGATAAATCTATAGCTATATATTTTTATATATAAATCTATATATGTAAATCTAACTAAATGCAAGTAATTTGTTTGTTTTGAGGTTAAGATCAATTTCAGTTGATGCCCTTTGGTTGTGGCAAAATTGGGTCTTTTAAAAAAAAAACACAGCCGAGTCATTAGCTGTGATTTTTCTTTTTCATACAGTTAGCATGCATGCATGTCTGAATGTTCTCTCTCTGCAGGTTACTATGCTCTTTGGCCAGCTTACTTTCCTTCCCTTCCTCCCTTCCATTTCTTTCCATTTATCTTTTTTCCTGTTCAAGTGGGTGCAAAGCACTGCAACAAGTCTTTTACCTTAACTCAGGATAAGATGTCTGCCTTCCCTTCTCTCTTCTTGATGTATATGCACCCAGTCTCTGTGAGCCACTTTTCCTTTTTCACCTGAGAGGAGAGGGGAAAGAGATTACTTTTCTCTCTGATTTCTAGAGTAGAGCTTGGTTAAATGGCACATTTCAAGCCTCCCTCTCCTGACCGCTTATACTTGCTTGGTTTTAAAATGGCAGGCAGTTTCTTTGTCTTGTAGGAATACAGTGTTGTAGAGTTGTTAACTTCTCAGGCTTGTTCAAGTAAGATGAATGTTCTAAAGATAAGAGCCTTTTTTTTTCCTTCCTTTCTTTCTTTTTTTTTAGAGACAGTGTCTTACTGTGTTGCCTAAGCTTATCTTGAACTCCTTGGGCTCAAGTGATCCTCCCACCTTGGTCTCCCAAAGTGCTAGGATTACAGGTGTGAGCCACCATTCCCAGCCTATAAGAGCCTTCTATACAGAAGCTACAGTGCTGTCTCCTCCCAAACCTCCCTAGGAACAGAATATTACTAATAGCCCAGTTCCACCTGTGCTGTCTACCAGTCACTGTGCCTCCCAGACTAGCCACCATAATGACTTTTAGCACAGTACATCAGTTTTTCCTATTTTTGACTTTAAGTAGAATCATACAACACTCTTTTGTGTATAGTTGCAGCTTTGTGTTTGTGGGGGTGGTTGTGAGGTTGTAGTTTTTGTTGTTGTTTTGTTTTCCTTTTGCTGTGATGTTTGGCTAGACTAGAGTAGAGCAGTTATTATTTTTACTGGGCTTCCCCTTTCTTTGTCCTTTGGATAGCAAGAGCTTACTTTTCTTGAGCCTTCTTTTTTTTTATGTCAACCCCCATTGGCATTCTTGGATTGCTGACTTCTCTAGCAAGTGGTCTGGGATATATAAGGCCAAGAGAAAACCCAACATTATAAAAATATATGTCCTTTCTATCTTTCTAGGAGCAGAAATATGGTCTTTTATCTTTTCTATAAACTTGGATATCATTAGGAAAAAGAAAATAAAACATTTTATGCATTTATATGAAATTCAAACAAAAGGACTTTGACTCTTTGTAAATGTTAATTTCTGTGTTTAATTGCAGAATCTTTTAGCTGAAAAAGTAGAGCAGCTGATGGAATGGAGTTCCAGACGCTCAATCTTCCGAATGAATGGTGATAAATTCCGAAAATTTATAAAGGCACCACCTCGAAACTATTCCATGATTGTTATGTTCACTGCTCTTCAGCCTCAGCGGCAGTGTTCTGTGTGCAGGTAATTTATGTAATTAAAAAATATTAAAAACTATTATTCTTGGTTTACATATATATTTTTATGTTCATTTTAAGATAAATATATGTAAGATAAACAGTTGTTTAATAGTCAAATATAACTGTGCATTTAAAAATAAGCTGAAAAATCAGTGTATTTTAGAAATATAGGCTAATATTCTTTTATTGGGGGCATGTAAAATATTCATTGACCAGTTGCACATATAATCATAAAACCGTTTTATCATCTTGATATCCTGCAGATTGCCTTGTAGGTCACTCAGTTATAGCTATGGTTAATGAAGTAGCCCCCTTAAATATAATCAATTTTTAATTTTTAATAGAGAGGACTCACTTTTATCTAGTGTAGCCCATTTAATTTTTGATACCGCCAATGATTAGAAATTTCTGTGCTGTAGAAGTAAACAGTTTTAAATGAATGAAATGTTTGTCTGGAGGAATAAATTAAAGAAAACTTTGGACAAGTATAAATACTTGTCCAAAAGTATACAACAAACACTTTTTTAAATTGAAATTTTTATTTTGAAATAATTGTAGGTACACATCTTTTACCCAGTTTCCTCCAGTGGTAACCTGTTGTAAAACTATAGTACAAATTCACAAGTAGGGTACTGGCATCGATACAGACAAATGCGGAACAGCTCTATTACTGCAGGGACACTTCTTGCCCTTTAAAGTCACCCGCACTCTCCATTGTACTTCTTACCTGTCGAACTTGACCTCTGACCTCTGGCAATCACTAGTCTGTTCTCCATTTCTATAATTTTGTCATTTCAAGAATCTTAGGTAAATGGAATTGTATGGTACGTGACCTTTTGGGTTTGGCTTTTAAAAATCAGCCGTAATTCCCTAAAAAAATACGTCCAAGTTGTTATATTTATCAATAATTATTTTTTTAAATTACTGAATAATGTTCCATTATATGGATGTACTGCTGTTTATTTAACCATTTATTTGTTAAAGGAATCGGGGTCGTTTCTAGGTTTTGGCTATTGCAAATAAATGTGGTATGAGCATTTTTCTGCAGGTTTTTATGTGAACTTACCGTTTTTCTGGGAAGAATGCCACAGAGTGTGGTGGTTAGGTTGTGTGGTAGTTTCTATTTAGTTATATAAGAAACAGCCAAAATGTTTTCTAGAATGGCTGTATCATTTCACATTCCAGCCATCAGTGTGTTTAGTTGCTGCTTATCCTTACCAGCATTTGCTGTTGTGACTATTTTATTTTAGCCATTCTGATAGATACTGTAGTAATACCTCATTGTGATTTAATTTTGCATTTCCCTATGACTAATTGTGTTGAACATCTTTTCATGTGCTTATTCGTCATCTATGTATCATCTTTAATGAAGTATCTGTTCATAGTCTTCTGCCCCTTTCTAATTGGATTCTTTAAATGAGTTTTGAGGGTTCTTCATATATTTAGATACTAGTCCTTCGTCAGATACTTGGTTTTCAAATATTTTCTCCCAGTTTGTGACTTGTATTTTCCTCCTCATTACAGGTCTTTTGCAGGTTTTAATTTTGATGAAGTTCAGTTTATTAGCTTATCCATTTAAAATTATTTCTTTTGTTGTCAAATTAAAGAACTCTTTCCTTAGCCCTAGATCCCAAAGATCTTCTCCTGTTTTTTTTTCTGAAAATTTTCTAGTTTGATGTTTTACAGTTTGATCTGCTCTTTGAAAGAAAGCACTCAATCTGTCATCAAGTATGATATTAGCTGTAGGTTTTTTATAGGTGGTATTTATCAAGTTGAGGAAGTTGCTCTATATTCCTAGTTTGCTGACAGTTTTTATCATGAATGAGGTGCTGCATTAAAAAAATTTTTTTTGTTGTCACTTTATGTAGTTTTTCTTGCCTATGGATATAATCAGTTACATTGATTGATTTTCAAATGTTGAACTGGTCTTGCATACAGGAATGGATACTATTTAATTGTGTCATATTATTTTATTATGTGTTGCTGGATTCAGTTTGCTAATTTTTTTTTGAAGAAGTTTGATCTAAGTTAATGATAGACACTGGTCTGTAGTTTTTATTGTTTATAGTGTCTTTGTTTAGTTTTGGTATCAGGGTAATATTGTACTCATAAAATGAGTTGGGGAATGTTACCTATTTTAATTTTTGGGAAATATTGTATAAAATTAGTGTTAACTCTTCTTTAAGTGTTTGGTAGCATTTTCCAGTAAAATCATCTGGGTCTGGAGATATCTTCCAGAAACTTATAAATTACATAATCCATTTCCTCGATGGTTAAGCACAGCACAGTTTGTTTATATCTTCTTGGCTGAACACATGTTCAAGAGCAAACACATTTTGTACTATAACTGCATGTGCCAGCATTGTCCATGTTGTATATTCATTGTAGACTTGGTTTAGGCTTCTAAATCATTTTGAGCTGTAGTGGAGACTGAAGTTATTAGTAACTTGGGTCAATGTAAAAAATCAGTTTTACTCAGGTTAGGTGGTAGAAAGGGAATGAGAGTGTTCTAAAATTTCTAAGAAGCATCTTATCACAACCTAATAATGAGTGTATGTTGGGGCATGGTTAAAAGTGAGTAGAGAACATGGTGAGCAAAATATTTTGAAAAACAGCACGTTAGGTGATTTTGAATTCTATTACTATCAAATTTGAGGACCAGTACTTGAGAGTGTATAAACACTATTGTCAGAATTGGGCTAGCACATAAGGATAGAGTATATATACCTTAACGATGGCAGCAGCGGGCCATCCGAAGAGGCCACTGCTATAGTTCCAGCTGTGGCGAGGGAGGCTGGGTGGTAGTGGTGGGAGTGGTTGCAGGAGCAGCAGTGGCAGTGGGGAGACCCGTGTGCACCGTGCCCCCTGTGCCCTGTGTCCCCAAGGTAGCTGACTGTGCCACCCCCACCCTCCTGAGCCTAGGCAGGACCCACTCCCAGGCCTGGAGCCTCTGCCACTCCAGACCCTGTCCCTGGTCACTGCTGTCACCTGCCACTTCTACGGGGAATAGGGAGAAGCCAGACAGTCCCTGAAGCTATGGGGGCCACTGCAGTGGGGCCAGGCCAAGTCACCTGCTGGTGGGAGAGCAGGGCAGTCAGGTATGGAGGGGTGGGCAGAGAGGGGACCCCAAGGCGGAACTGGGTCTGGGGCAGTGCTGTGCTCCATAGAGCCAGTGGGAGCGGGGAGCAGACAGTAGCCCTACCCTGCCGAGCATGGTTGTAGCCTTCCAAGTCATGGCTGTGGACCAGTATATCCGTGTGCTCTTTGGGGCAGGAAGCAGGCAGCAACCTTGCCCTCCTGGGCGCAGCTGCAACTGTCCACCTGCGACTGCGGACTCAGGCATCTCTCTGCACTCTCAGTGGCCCAGGAAGGCCCCCCTTACCCCTGCAGGCTTGGAGATGTCTGCTTCCACTGCCTGGTCTCTCCCTGCTCTTGGTGGCTGCTCCAGTCTTGGAGCAAGGATTGGGCACTGTTGGAGCTTGGCCAGGTGTGTGCATGCTCAGGGTAGAGCTGACATGCCAGCCCCCTGCTGCCTCAGTCCCCTCTGGACTTTCGGCATAAACGAGCATGGGAGAGTGGCTGAGGGGGGCCCTGAGGGAAGTCTGGTTTTGGCCTGCAGGTGCCCCTTGGCAAGAACAACCTGGGCACCATGAATGGCTGCAGGAGGCAGACAGGCTCCAGGGTGGAAGGGTCCTGATGAAACCCCACCTTCAAGCTTGGGAGGGCCTGAAGCCTGGGGGGCTGGGCTGCCGGTCCCGTTGAACAGAGTGGGAAAGTGTGGTACTTTTTCCTACTCTCACCCATGCACCAGTCAGCGCACACTATATCTGGCCCATAAAAACCTCAGACTCAGCCAGACTTGAGAAGAGGATGGAGAGATGATGAGACAAAGAGATGGCTAGCTGCAGAGAGAAGCTGCCCACCCCAGGGTCTCCTCTCTGCTGAGAGCTGAGGAGACAATGGTAGGACCAGATGCAGAGAGGTGCTGCTCTTTCTGCTGAGAGCTGAAGAGACTATAGGACAGCCTGCCTGGCAGAAAGGAGGTACCCTCCCTACTGAGAGCTGAAGACTTGTCAGGACATCCTGGCTATGGAGAGGAGCTGCCCACTGCAGGTTCCCTCTGAGCTGTTCTTTTGCTCACTAAAGCTCCTCTTTGTCTTACTCACCCTCCGGTTGTTTGTGTGCTTCTTTCTTCCTGGATGCTGGACAAGAACTTGGGACCTGCCAAATGGCAAGGCTAAAAGAGCTGTAATACAAAGAGGGCTGGAACATGCCCCTCGCTTGCCATGTTGTGGATGAAGAGAAGAAGAGAATAGCTGTGGCCCTTTGGGGAGCCCAGACCTGGGAGCTTCCTGAGCCAGGGCTGTGACTCCCTTTTTGGGGCCCTGTGGTTTCTGGTGTCTCCAAGCTTCCGGTGCCACTGCATTCCCCAGTGCTGGCCGGGGAAGCTGCTTGCAGTCCACCTGCAGCCTCACAGGGAGCTGGTGTCTCTTCCAGTTCCTGGAGCTGCACGCCCTGCTCTAGCCAGCATGCCTGGCTGTGTGCAGTGGCCAGACCCCATGCTCACTCACACACTTCTTGTTGCTCTGTTCCTGGTGTACCGTTGGCAGGCATGGGATCCTGGCCGGTAGCGGGAGCTGAGTGGAGACTGCCAGTCTGAGTGGACAAAACGAATCCAGTGGGCCAGAGTGAACCTCAGGCAAAGGTGCCACTGGCCACAGAGGTTTCCATCTGGCGAAGCGACACCCCAAGGATCCCGTAACATTAAGGGATGCTATAAAGCCCTACTCAGACAAAATACCTTAGTTGCCATTTTGGTATATCAGTTCGTTTTCCCCTAAAAATAAAACATTTCAGGCATTTAAAAAATACTGTAAATATTTTAAGAAAATCTTTTTTTGTTCCTAAAAACTGAATGTATTGATTTCCTAAAATCACTAGTATAGTGAAGAAATATTTAATCATTATATTTTTATAACAATCTAGAAATATTTTATTATCTAAGTATTTATTTCACTGTTACATATAATTATATGTACTGTAATAACATAAACCATAACATACTGTTAAATGGTGCATTCTTTGGATAGTATTTTACTTAATGCATTTTGGTGTTAAATCATTTGTTAAATACAGACCCTTAATTTTTTAATGACATCTAGCCTATAACAACTTTTTTCATTTATTTGCTTTTTATTTGTTCATTATAGCCTATTTTAAGAAACTTAGCATTTTAAAAGAGTTTTGGATTTATAAGAGAAAGAGATTGAAGTTCTTGGAAAATTTAATGGGTCAGTGTCGGGGTAGGATAGTTAGAGAAGAAAGAACAGGTTAAAGTTAAAATCTATTGTGCAAAGCAGTATAGAGAAAGGGAAGGTGAGGAGCAGGTTCATGACTTGTAGCTTTTGTATTTTATTCACTGAGAAGCAATGGAAATGGAAAGGCTTAACTAATTGGATAACCATGTAGCATTGAGATACCGTTTTTGAAACTAGAATACCTACCTTCTTAGTGAAGAGTCTGTAGAATTAAATGATGTTCTTTCCTAGTACTGAGCAATTTAGTAGCAAGAACCATGCTCCTTTGGAATGGTCCTGTTTTCTTCATGGTGTGAAGTGGATTAGGAGAATGAGTAGAAAGTGCGGGTGAGAGAATATGGGAAATATGTAGCTATGGTTGCAAAGTTGGATGAGGGTCAGAGGAAGCTAGGGAAAGTTGACAAACTGGTTGTGATACAGTTAAGCTAGATTTCCACAAGGGTGAAGAACAGGTTTTGTGTAGAAGTAGGATAGGGTTGAAAATTAGCAAGTTGTCATAAAGGGTTTATTTAATAAGTAACTTGCTGAAGTGTGATATACATGATTTTCGATGGTATAAAGAAGCTTGAACTGTGAGACTGTGGTAATATCTAGATTATAAAATTAGATGTTGATATTAGGATGGTATGGTAACTGAAGAGGAAAAAAGTGAGATTATAGAGGGATGCCTTGGAGTTTGTAGATGAGGATGAAAATTTATATTATAGGATGATATGAATTTCAAAGGGGCGTCTGTTAAGTAATTGTGGTAGAGAAGTGGTCTTGAGGTCTATTGTTATTGAGCCAGGAGAGCTCTGTAATCCATATGATAGTGGGCAGAGTGGACCAAAGAGATTTCAAGGTGACAACTAAGATGAAAAGGTGAAGAGGAGTTTCTACAAATATTTTTCAAGAAAAATTATTCAAATTATATTTCTGAGTAATAAATGAAGCATCAGAGGGAGTTGTAGATGCACTGAGAAAGGGACCCTGTCATTTGCGGCCATCTTGTTTTTTTTTTTTTTTTTCACGTGAATTACTCCTCCTGGGTCCTTCTGTGTCAGTGTACTTTTGGACCACTTCTGTAACACTGCCGTAATCTTTATAATTGTTTAGGATCTTTGAAAAGTTCATAGTTAGAATTTAAAAATCGTAGTACTTTCCTTTGTGAGACTTGCCTTTTTTCTTTTCTTTAAAAAAAAAAAAAGCGAAATTTTCTTCTAGAGTTAACTTGCATTTAGATTCTTCAGTTGATTTTCCTTGCTTAAAGGCTGGTGAATGAGCTTTTGGCTTCCTTGTAAGCCCTTTTAGCAGATAATTCTGCTCTTCCTTCACACAGTCAGTTTATTCACAAATTTTGGAATTCAATTCTCACCTCCCTCAGTGCTAACATCAAACTCCTCGGCCAAATAAAGTTGTTAATTAAGACTACTCTATATAATTCTCACCTCCCTTAAGTGTTAGCTCCAAACTTTTTTTTTAAATCAAATTATACTGTGGGGAATATTCTTCATAATTGCTAACTCTTTTAGATGTATTCTCCTACAAAGTTACTCATCTCTTCCAGGGTTTATTACAAAATCTAAGTACGAAATATCCTCATGGAAGGATGTTACTATGGATCAGTAGATTTAAGAAGAAAATTCAGTTGAAGGGAAATAAAGAACTTATGTAGAATCAAGCAGGTTGCCTGTATAACCAAAGTTTTGGTGATGTGTTGGAGATTAATATATAATTGGACTCCGGTTAAATGAAGAATTGATAAATTACAAAATACTTTGAGAAGAATAAATAACATTACATTGATACATTACATATTAACTAACATTTATTCTCTCCCAACAAAATAAAATTTTTGTTTATTATGTGTAAACTATTGGGGACGCTATGTTAAGTCCTTTATATATACAGTATATATATTATGTCATGTGATTCTCATTATTGTGAAAGTTAGATATGAACAAAACTCGTTTTATAAATGAGAATATTAAAGCTGAGAGGTTATAATTTTTTCAAAGTCACACAGCTAGTAACTGTTCAGGGTTGCGATTTGTGACTCCAGAGCTATTAGAATTTAATGCTTTCCTTAAGTGCACATATTCATTATTGTCTCTATTCTGTAAACTGTAATTGTGTCTTGCTTTTGTGTTCCTAACCAAGATTATTAGTGTCTTAGGGCAGTGATCTCTCCGCCAGCATATCCTAAACTTGTATGATCATGAAAAGCTTTTATTCAGGAATGTGTCTCATAATGGGGACTGGTGAATTGAATACAGCTGGCTAAAATCACGTGGAAAAGAGCCTATCACCCTTTTGTTTCCTTACAGAGAGGTCACACCTCTCATGGGTTTAGAGTGTGAAATTAACAAATAAGGTAAACTTGGGTCCCTTGTACATCACTTAAAGCACTTGTAAGTATATTACTTTTTTGGGGTTTGGTACTACAACCCTTATCATTTCCTCTTACCTTTGATAATATTTCTTCATAGCCCTTAATTTTTAAGTTTCCTTAAATTTCTTGGCTACCTGAACAAGGTATTTCACCTCTTTGCAAGACTGGGGAAGTGTCATGCCTTTTACATGTTCTTTTTCTGGTTTGGCTAACGTGAGACATTTTTCAGGCTTGAGTGAATCCATGACCAGTTTGGTATAAATGATGCCCTCAAGTTACTGCTGAGCTATGTAGTTTAATTTTCTTATTTTTTACATTGAAGGCATATGACGTAACTTTAGTGTGTTAACTTTCTTCCTAGGTGTCTCTTCCTCAGATAGGATAATCCCACCATTTTTACTGTTTACAGCAAACGTTCATTATATATGTGACATTGTAGCATTCCTTGAATTCTTTTCTATATTCTATAATTTTTCCTTTAAAGTCCAGCTATAGTCTCTTCATCTTTTTAATTTCAAGCTTACAGAAAATTGAAACTAGTACAGTGGACACCTGTGCTACCCTTTACCAAAATTCACTAATTAGTAATGTTTTGCCACTTTGCATTTTGCTCTCTTTTAAGTATAGGTAAAAGAAATCAGTCAAATATTAGCAAAAAACTACCTATGAGTTACATACATCATGAATATTGTCCCTAAATACTTCAGTAATACATCTCTTGAGTTTAAGGCTGTTGTGTGTGTGTGTGTGTGTGTGTGTGTGTGTGTGTGTGTGTTTTGTTTTGTTTTTAAGACACAGTCTTGCTGTGTCACCCAGGCTGGAGTGCAGTGGCGCGATCATGGCTCACTACAACCTCTGCCTCACGGGTTCAAGCGATTCTCCTGCCTCAGCCTCTCAGGTATCTGGGACTACAGGCACCTGCCGCCATGCCTGGCTAAATTTTTTTGTATTTTTAGTAGAGATGGGGTTTCAGCGTGTTGGCCAGGCTGGTCTTGAACTCCTGACCTCCTGATCCGCCTGCCTTGGCCTCCCAAAGTGCTGGGATTACAGGTGTGAGCCACCGTACCCGGCCAAGGCTATTCTTATATAATTAGAACACCATTATAACTTTTAAGTAAATTAATATTAGTTCAGTGATATAATCTTACTATATAATTCATATTTAAATTTTGCATTTGTCTCCAAAATGTCTTTTATTTCACTCCCGCACCCCCATGCCATGTGAGATCCATTTGAGGTTCATCTGTTACATTTGTTACACCTCTTTCTTTTAATCTATAACGTTTCCACACTTAAACAAGAAAGTATTTGTTTTAATGATGGTGACTTTTTTTTTCCCTGAGGAATCCAAGCAACTTGCCTTTTATAGTGTCCCATGCTCTGGATTTGTCTGATTGTTTCTTCCTGATTATATTCAAGGGAAGAGTACTATAGCAGTTAGTTGGAATACTTCTTATTGTATATTATCAGGAGGCCCATAATATTAGCTTGTTCATATACCAGTGCTGAGATTAATCACTTGATTAGGGTGATGGTTGTCAGATCTCTCCATTGTACAGGGAAATTTTTTTTGCTTTTATTAAGTATTTGGGGAGATAAGTGGCTTGGGAGGAAGGAAACAGGGAGATCAATTGAATATCCTGTTTCTCAGTAATTTTTTACCCAGCACTTGTAGTATTAATTTATAATGTTTGTCTGAACTTGATATTACATTAGTGATTGTGAAATGGAGATTTTCAAATTAAGTGATTTCTTCTACATTAATTAGTTGTCATTCTTCTGTAAAGGCAAGGTTTGCCAACCTCACTTACCTTTTGTTTTGAGTATTCCAACTCAAAGATTCTTTTCATTCCCTAATCCATTACTAGGATTATTCTTCTTCATGTTCAGATTGTCCTAAATTTGACCTGTGGGAACCAACTCCTATATCATAGTGTATCTCCTTTAGTCTACTTTCTGGTACAAGATATTCTAAGCTTACGTTGTATGTTCTCTGCCGTGGAACTGTAATCAGCACTTTTTTCAAGGAGCCCTGGTTCCTCTTCGTAGGAAATGATATTTAGAAAGCAAAAACTTAGCTAGGTGTACGCTTTACTGCTGAGGTAGTATTATTGCTTTGAGGCCTTTTTAGTAGAGCTAAGGGATATGGTTCTGTGGGGATGTGTGTGTGTATATAGATGTGTATACGTATTTTAAAATTATGACTTCAGTTAGATACGTATTATTGTAGCAGAGCATTACGTGTTTTCTTCTCTCTTTCCCTCATTCCATACTTTTATCTCTTTGGCCTGAGACATTAATACAGGTATAGCAGGATCTGTCTTGGTCCACAAAGAAGTCGTCTAGGGTAGTTCTCTCATCCATAGCAACTCAGTGAGTTGAAGCTGATGTGAATGCCTCAGTGAGTTGAGGCTGAAGTGGTATTATTGATCACTTCGGTGAAAGTTAGTGATAAATTTCTTACCTCCTGTTATATGTGGAATTGTTTCTTTCCAAAAAGGTATTCTGCATTCTTAACCCCCAGGTAGCCCAGACTGTGGCCTCATTTGGAAATAGGATAGTTGTAGATGTAATTAGTTAAGATGAGGTGATACTCAGGCAGGGCAGGCCTTTAATCCAATATGACCGATGCCATATCAGCAAAAGAGGGCAATTTTTTTACTAAATTCTATTTTATTGCATTGTTACAGACACACAGGGAGATTGCCTTTTGATGGCAGAGGTGGGGAAATGGAATAATTTAGCTGGAAGCCAGGGAATGTCAGGTATTGACAGCCATCATCAGAAGCTAGGAAGAGGCAAGGAAAGATTCTCCCCTTCAGTTTTAAGAGGGAGCATGGCCCTACTCATACCTTGATTTTAGACTTCTAGCCTCCAGAACTATGAGGTTTTTTTTGTTTTGTTTAAGCCATCCAGTTTGTGATACTTTGTTATGGCCACCCAGAGAAACTGATACACCACCTTTTACCTACTGGATGATTCTCACCATAAACAAAACATCCCACAAGGGATGCATAAACACAAGTCAAATATCCCTCTGGGTCAGCTCCCCCAGGTATCTGAAGGCTAGCCTCATTTCAGAGAGATCTCTACTGTGATCCGAGGGCTGTATACTTCCATAAACACTTGAAGGTCTCTTACAACCCATTCCTGGTATAGTTCATCATACCTAATGTGGTATTGGAGCAAAGACAAGATGGTATTAAACTTTTGCATGAGAAGTCCAGCCCTGGGGAGTGTATGTAGTGCCCCTGTGAAGTTTTGCTTACAATTATTGAGGTCTTCCAAATGGGACCTTCATCATTAAGAAACCCAGGTTGGCAGTGCCTTCAGTGTAGCCTCTTGGCTGGCTGGTAGACTTTGGTTCCTCCAACTCAGTTTGATGAATACATTGTGTCCACGATTCTAGACAGACCCGCAGGGAGTAGTTAGTTACTCCAATCTGTTTTATTGACTATGCCACTAGCAGGCCATCCCTTGTTCTCTCCTAAGAAAGACTGAGCTATGGCCACAGGAGTGGGGCTGAGAGAAACATGAGAGAAAGGGCAATTGATATTTTGCATGAAAGCTGGGGTCTTCCATTAACACTTCCATAAATTCCGTCTTAAGATTAAGAAGAATGACAAAGTTTGTTCAGACCCCACTGGTTGAAGATGGCAGATCCAGCAGTTGATGGTTTCAGAGAGCTGCACCAGTGTGTTTTTTCATGTGAGGAAGTCTTCAAAGGTGGTTCTCAAAGACAAAAGATTTTACTGTCTCTCCCTCTCTACCTCCTAGGATCTGTATTTTCATCTTCACATACTAGAATTTTTGCTTACCCTCATAAAATCATTGTCTCCATCTGAGTATCTGTAACTTCACCTTTTCTCCAGTTATCCCGTACTAACACCCAGATTATCAGATGTTCGTCTGGAGAGTTTTAGTATGAGAGATATAAGGGCATTTCAATGAAATTTATAGAGACTGATTACATCCTTCACTTTGGCCTCCGTAGGCCACTGCAGGAGGGCTTAGTGTGAAGTACACTCAGCCAAGTGGTCATTATCCTTATTAACTAAGACCATGTCAGTAAAACAAGAGAACTCAGTGACTGAACCCAGATTAAATCTGAATTTCCTAAGCCTTTTTTTTTTCCCCCCAAAGGTAGGCTGCCACCCAGGGGATATATTGGTTGAGTTTCCTCAAGGTAACTGTCAAGGAAGGAAAGGAAGCATTATGCCCGGGAATGGTCAGGACAGAATCTTAAATTTTTCAAAATAGATCTGAATAATGCCCACATCTCTTGTATTGATCATTTCTTAGGAAGCAGCCAAGAAGAGATGAACTCTTTCTTGGGATAGATGTGTTTAGTCACCAAACTGCCGTGTGAAGGTGTGTGGACAAAAAGAGGAGAGGAAGTCGAGTCACACATATTTTCATGTTAATTTTTGAGGTGGCTCAAATGCATGTCACAATGCTGGATGCTAGCAGATGTTAGGGCACATGGAATGACTGCTGAATGCCTTACCTATTGGCTTATGTTTTGGTGGCTTTTGTGGCAAAAGGCACAGTATTATTAGACTGTAATATAGTCCAGAGAGCCAGAAATAATGACATATTTTAATTTAAAAATTCACAATGGAATGGCTACAGTTAACTAGCACAATGTACTCTAACACACTGTACTCTCACAGTGAGAGTCGTAATAGTAGTAAGGTGCCAGTGGTAGCCCCGACAAAAGAACAAAGGCTCATTAAAGTCAGTTTGCTAAGAACAGATGCGTATGATGCCTTGACTAGCATGGCTGCTGCCCTGCAAGGTAAACAGGCCAATGTTTGATAAGAGTCTCAAGTCTAGTATTCATTGTAGCTTCTGCATGAACTTACAGTAATGGAGCCAGGTAGCAATGGTGGTGATCTGGTAAGTGTAGGTTTAATTAGCAGCTTGATTCCAGATGGTTTGTCAGATTATGGGTCCTCACTGTGGGCGACTACGTTAAGTGACCTCTTGGTGACTAGTTCGCATGTGTGATTTGTTGTTCAAAAGATAGATGTTTCAAAGAGCGGTGTCTTTATCTCTTAGTCTGTAGTCTTCCAAGTGGCAGATGATATGGTTAGGCCAGTGGCAACAGTCAGTACAAATGTGGGAAGATTTGTCAAAGTGGGTCTTGGTCAGGACTATGAGGACTGCCTTGAGTTCTGCCCACTGAGCAGAACAACCACGCCTGTTTTTGGTATTACACAGCTGTTTCTGAGGGGAAGCAGCCACAGCAGCCCGTTAAGCACAATCGGATTTCAACTTAGCAGAATCATCAGTTACTCAGGCCTGGGCATTTAGGGAACCTCTGTGAATTGAGGGCTCCACTGGGCCATTAACTTTGAGTTGGGTGGCAGAGTTAGGGATAAAGTTTGCTACAAGAGATAGCTGCTGTTTTTTTAATGTAAAACTGATGGGTGGCCAGGGTCAGCTGCACTCTTAAATATACCATTTCCACAAGGAAAGCCTGGTGGACGCTTAATACCTTAGTCATCAGATCCAAGTAGACCAACCCCAGAATAGAGATATTAGGCATTTGTTTGTACTTGGTGGTCTTGTGAGGCAGTTGCCATCCAGAAATCAAACTGGCGTTGGTACATGGAAGACAACTCATGTTGCCGTAGGCATTAGTCAGCAGAATTCTCAGTCATGGAGACTGTAGTTGGAAGCAGTCATTAGGTTTGTGTGTCCCCAAAGATACGGGGTGTGGTTTGCTGAACATTTGCAGTGCAGCCTGTTGCATTGTTTCCTTTTCAGAGGACACTGGTTTGTGGGCTAGTCTATATAAATGATGAAGACGAATGTTCCAGTGGGAGATTAACTTATTTCAGTGCCTAAAGAGTTCATTAAGGTGTTGGGCCTCCTTTTTGGGGTCAAGTCTGAAGAGATAGCAGTTTTTCTTTCACTGCTGGGGAAATTGAGTGTTTGTAGTCTGTTCACATAGTCCCAAGAAATTTTATTTGGTGCTGGTGAGATACTGATGCCGATCCAGTTTTCTTACTTTGAATGTGATTTGTTTTTTTGCCTTGTGGGCCAAAGTATATTTTAAATTTTTTCACTGAAGTCTGATAATTCTGCTATACTATGTCTTACAGTTGACTATTCTAGGTTGCCTTTTTCAGGCACACAAAGAACTCTTCAATATGTATATAGGGACTTTATTTTTAGAAATGTTATTATATCGTAGTTTAAAATACCAGTTCTATTTCATTGTTTTGTTTTTCTACTTCAGGGACTCTAATTCTCCATATGTTTAATATTTTAAAATCCACCCCATTCCCTCTTAAACTTTTATTTTGTTTTTGTTCTCTTACCTGCTTTTAATCCTATTCTTAATGTCCTTTATTTATTTTCAGTCAACTCCATTTTTCTTTGAAGACTTTGTAATACAGACTTCATTTCTGCGTGGATTCTGTCTGTTTTGCTTTTTTGAAACATACTGGTTTCCTGAGTCTTACTAACTGTGATATATCGTCTTTTGTTTTTTATTTCTATTTCTAGTTGTTTAATTTCTGATTTGAGATTTTCTGTCTTCAACTGCTTGTTTAATGATATTTACTTTAGGTTGGAGTATTTTGTTTCAGTTTTCTCTTCATGATTTTGTTTTTAGGGAAATTTTTTATCAGTTGAAGAATTTTTATTCTTTCTGATTTATTTTTGTAGTAGCCTTGTACAGATGCTGTTGATCATTTGCTGCTTCTTAAAACTTTTTTTTTACCCCTTTCCTATACCAGACCAGAAACCATAGTTTATATGTGGGGTGGGGATGGCTAGACTTTTGAGTGGCCTACTGATTTCTTAATTCAAGTACCCTTTCTGCTCATAACGTGAAATAGGTCGAGTTCAGCAAGCTTATTTTTCTCCCCCGCTCACTTCTTCCTCCCTCCTATTTCTTCCTCTCTCCTCCTTCTTGCAGTGGCATATTCTGATTCTGAAATAATTTATGTTTCCACAGGTCCCTTAATTTTCATGACCTGCTTCTCTGTTTCACTCTATCACCAACCCACTAATGCATGTCTGCTTCTTCTAAGTTGTTTCCCACTCCCCACAAAGTGGTGCATTCTTAAGACTGCCATGTTTGTTCCTGTGTACTTCCAAGCCCCTTTCTTTATGTTCCACAGTAGCCACTGTTCTTGCCCACCATGTTATAGACCTGTTCTCAGTGTTTTCAAATTCAGCTGAGATTCTGTCTTTCTTGGGGTGATTCCCACCCCCGCCGCCCCCCGTATTTCGCCTCTGCTAGGATCCCTCGTACCCCTTTTTCCCTGTACAGTCTCCACCTTCCTGTTCTTGCATGGATTACTGAAGTTATAAATGTTAATTTCCTCACTTCCATTTACATTTATATTCTGTAGGATTCTTTTTATCCCAGTTACTGTACTGGCATTAGTAGTTTTGATTATGCTTTTTGGAGAACTACATGGTTTTTGGAGTTCTTTGTTGGTTATCATTATCCTACAGGAACTCAGTAATTGTCGCGTATAGTTTTAATCTTTGTAGGAGAAATTGGAATCTGACCACACAGAAGGAAGTTCTTTGAAGACAAACTTTTTTTTTCTTTTTTTCTTTTTTTTTTTTTTTTTTTTTTTTGGAGACAAGAGTCTCACTCTGTTGCCCATGCTGGAGTGCAGTGGCATGATCTCTGCTCACTGCAACCTCTCCGCCTCCTGGGTTCAAGTGATTCCCCTGCTGCAGCCTCCTTAGTAGCTGGGATTACAGACATGTGGTACCACGCCTGGCTAATTTTTGTATTTTTAATAGAGACAGGGTTTCACCATGTTGGCCAGGCTGGTCTCAACCTCCCAACCTCAAGTGATCCACCTGCCTTGGCCTCCCAAAGTGCTGGGATTACAGGCTTGAGCCACTGTACCTGGCTGAGGACAAATACTAGCATTACACTGATGATTATGATCATGTGTTGATGCTAGATCACGTGATGTTCAGGGCTTCAGTGATGATGATCATGTGTTGATGCTAGATCACGTGATGTTCAGAGCTTCAGTGATGATGATCATGTGTCGATGCTAGATCACGTGATGTTCAAGGCTTCAGTGATGATGATCATGTGTCGATGCTAGATCACGTGATGTTCAGGGCTCCAGTGATGATCATGTGCTGATGCTCGATCACGTGATGTTCAGGGCTTCAGTGATGATGATCATGTGTCGATGCTAGATCACGTGATGTTCAGGGCTTCAGTGATGATCATGTGTCGATGCTAGATCACGTGATGTTCAGGGCTTCAGTGATGATGATCATGTGTTGATGCTAGATCACGTGATGTTCAGCGCTTCAGTGATGATCATGTGTCGATGCTAGATCACATGATGTTCAGAGCTTCAGTGATGATGATCATGTGTTGATGCTAGATCACGTGATGTTCAGGGCTTTGGACTTTCTGTGTGCTTAGTGGGATTTTATTGAATGAAATGAATGAGAATTTTTTCATATTGATGAAAAACTCATTGAAAAGTTTCTTGATAGACAGCTACAGGAGTAAAGATCATACAAAACGGTGCTTTATTTCTCTAAAAATGCTTTATTTATATAGGTTATAACTGAAATAAATGAAAAAATGACTTTTAAAACTCTAATCTTGATAGCTGCTTTTAAGCATTTAAAGATAAAACTTTCTGCATTTTTATATCTAAAGCTGCAACTATTATATAAAGTCATAAATTACAATTCATCTTTGTATTATTTTTAAGCATTTATTCTTGGTTTCAATGATTTTAGTTTATGTTAGTCATTTAACATATTAAATGAGATTTACTAATTTTCATGGTCTCAGACCTTAGTCCTCAAATAATTTCTCTTAGATGCATAAGAGTCGTTTTTTTTTTTTTTGGACCCATGAGGATGACTTAGTACAGTCAGTCAATATGAGTAAAACCACTTCAGATATAGTCCTTTCTTGTGATAGGTTGTTGTCTTTGTCACCATAATACAGTGAACAAAATAATATTCTTTTTATTTATCAGAAGACAGTGATTATCATGTGCCCATGCAGAAGAGAGTTAACATAGCAGGCCTGAGATTGTTATCGTTAGAAAGGGGAGCTCCCAAGTGTGGCCCTTGCTTGCCATATGGGAACTTGGATTTTGGGAATTTTTCCACCATTACTTAGCTGAGAAGGGTGGTTCACTGTCCCTGAACTGTTTACAAACAATGTGGTTAATGCTGAACACCTGCTTTTTTTGTGTAAGTTTGGAATTTTGCCACCTACCATGCAGAGGGCATCTACATGACCAACCTTCTTGGGCACTGAATCTGTAATGAACCTCCCTGGTAGAAACACTTTACACGTGTCACAACGGAATTGATCCTGTGTGACCTGACAGGGAGTCACTGTTGGAAACTTATCTGGTTCACTTCAGACTGCACCGTGTGCCTTTTCCCTCTGCTGATTTTGCTTTGTGTCCTTTCTCTGTAGTAAATCTCAACCATGAATGTGACCATGTGCTGATTCCTCTGAGTCTTCTTAGTGAATCACCAAACGTGGTGATGGTACTGGGGACGCCCAACACACAACCTTTTAATAATTCTGAAATGTTTTCTCCTGGTCTTGGCAAGAAGTTATATATTTAATATTCATTTTAGTTTTTATTTAGTTTTTCAGATCTGTAGAATAAGCCTCCCCTGCCCCTAAAGAATCTTAAATAG
Organism: Homo sapiens; assembly: GCF_000001405.40. Taxonomy (NCBI): domain Eukaryota; kingdom Metazoa; phylum Chordata; class Mammalia; order Primates; family Hominidae; genus Homo; species Homo sapiens. The sequence continues at coordinate 15,640,613 of NC_000008.11, forward strand.
AACTAGGGACAAAAAGAAACCTCATTTTATAAATTTGTGGCTTTTTGTCGTGGAACTGGATACTAGTATGGTGCTATTATATTGATACTGGCATATATTTTTGAACCAATTTTTATTGAATGGTCACTGTGTATAAATTCTCTCCTGGATCCAAGGGGAGATGATGGTGAACAAACTGACCTGGCTGCTGCTCTCATTATCTCAGAGTCTAGTTCGTAAATGTCATGAAGGAAAAGCACAGAGATTTATGAGAGGATCCTGGTTTTTCCTGTTAATCTGTGTGTTCAAAAAGGTTTATTTAAGGGAGTGATAAATTGCAGTGTTAAGTTATACACGAAGACTAGGAATTCATGAGGCATGTTTATCTGCTCCCATGTACTAGACATACCTCTTTGCCATGTATACTGAGTGTGTTATATGTATTGTGTGCCATGTGTGCTCTGTAGCTATAGAAAAGCTAGGTTGAGGCCGGGCGCGGTGGCTCACACCTGTAATCCCAGCACTTTGGGAGGCCGAGGTGGGCAGATCATTAGGTCAAGAGATCGAGACCATCCTGGCCAACATGGTGAAACCCCTGTCTCTACCAGAAATAGAGAAAATTAGCTGGGCGCGGTGGCACTCGCCTGTAGTCCCACCTACTCGGGAGGCTGAGGCAGGAGAATCACTTGAACCAGGGAGGTGGAGGTTGCAGTGAGCCAAGATTGTGCCACTGCACTCCGGCCTGGCGACAGAGAGAGAGACTCCGTCTCAAAAAAAAAAAAAAAAAAGAAAAGTTGCATTGAGAAGAAGGAAGGAATTTCACAGAAATCCTATATCAAGAGTAAGCCTAGTTTATCAAAGGAAATTAAAATTTGGGTCTGGTGCAGAGAGTGAGAGGGGAAGACACTAGAAGTAAGGTCTGAAAATGCAAATAGTCAATGAATTTTAAGCTAGATGGTGGGTACCCCAAGGTTTGCATACTCCTTTGCCATTTACTAGAGACTTCGTTATGCCTCATGTTTTTAACCTCATGACAACTGTTGAGAGAGAAATTACTAGTATTGTCATGCTAAAAAGGGGAAAATAAAGTATTTGTGGCTTTCTCAAGTTTATACATTACAAAGTTGAAAGCCAGTCCACAAGTACAGATTTTCAAAATTCATGTGTTACCTATGTTCTTTCTACTTGGCCACATCATAATAATAGGTGTAGTGTTACATTGTTTGGAAGTCATGATAAAAGTATTATGGTTATTTTATATGTATCTAAAGGCCTTGCCAAAAATGAAAACCAGACAAAAAGAGACGCAAGGAAACTTTTGGAAGTGATGGAAATGTTTATTAACTTGACTGTGGTGGTGGTAACATGAATGTGTACATATGTCTACACTCACCAAATTGTACCCATTATATACATTAATCGTGTGGGCTTTTTAATATACCAGTTATACCTCATTGAAGCTGGGGGAAAAGAATAGTCCAAGAACATTTCTTCAGTGTTTAGCATAAGATATTCCTATGGTAGTCTGCCAGTTCATTAACAAAATTAGAGATGTTTGGAACAATATTACTGGGTAGAATAGTTGCTTGTCATGGAATTTTGTAGTATCACAAGATAGATCTCTCTCTATACAATATATAATGCATATACTCAGATAGTTAACTGGTTAATCAGTAGTTCAAGAATTATTTAAGAATAGTATGTGAATCTCTATGCTTTTTATTCAATTTTGTTGAGAATCTAAAACTCCTCTAAAAATAGTCTATTAAAAATAAGTTTGATGAGAAAAGTTAAAAAAATGAAGATAAATATGAATAAATATACGAAAGGGTTCCTGGCATACACTAAATCTCCATGAATGTTTCTTGTGACGGCAATACTATCAGTTGACTAGAAAAGACATAATCTCCATCTCTTGGGACACAGTTTCTGTAATCTTGTGTCTACCTTTTTGATTCATTACAATAAAGGTCTTTAAAGTCTGCGTATATTCTGTTCTTTACCACATGAAGCTGAAGAATAGACTTACTGGGAAATCCTGCAGGATTTAAGATGTGAGTTAACGCTTTCCTCATTTTGACTTCTCAGGTTTTGCAATATATATATATGAATTTACTTAACAGATATTTTTTGAGTATCATGATAGTTCCTGGGCATGTTATCATAAACAAGGTTTACATTGCTTTGTTGTTTTGTTTTTATTATTTAAGATTATAAGTGTTATAATGGATTGAAGTATCTTGAGGCAGTGGCCTGTATGTCTTACCTCTTCCAAACATTGAATTAATTCACCCATTTATTCATTTATTTGCTAATTCTTTATTATTAGTTGCACAAATATTAAATACATATTATAATCATATGTAGTAGGTAAATGATACGGCTTGACTGTGTCCCCACACAAATGTCACTTTGAATTGTTCCCATAATCCCTATGTGTTTTGGGAGGGACCCATGTTGTTCTGATGATAGTGAGTGAGTCCTCACATGACCTGATGGCTTTATAAGGGGCTTTTCCGCCTTTGCTTGGCACTCCTTCTTCCTGCCGCCTTGTGAAGAAGGTGCCTTGCTTCCCTTTTGCCTTCCGCCATGATCATGTTTACTGAGGCCTCCCCAGCTGTGCTGAACTGTGAGTCAGTTAAACCTCTTTCTTTGTAAATTACGCTGTCTTGGGTATGTCTTTATTAGCAGCATGAGAATGGACTAATACAGTAAGAAAACTTGTTAAACGAACAATGCGTTAAATGATTTCCTTACTACATTGTGTGACATTCTTCTTGGCATACCACATTTAAGCATTAATATGTTACTGTTAGTTGTTTTTTTTTTTTTAAGGAGAACCAAAATTTCTTTGACTTTCAAAAACTGAGTGCTAACTCTGCGTATTGTATACACTTCAACATATTTTATGTTCATATACAGTTTTGCTTTAAAATATGTATTTGGATCACATATGTTAGAATTGTTTTCCAAGGAAAGATCTACTTAGGTCTGATGAAGAAAATGGATGCACAGGGAACAGCTTTAAGAAACACAACCTCTTTATCTTACATCTAGTGAATTATTCAGTCAATTACAATATGGTAGTGAACTGTTGATTTCTCAGCTCTTCAGAGGCCTTAGGTCTACTTAATATATTTCAGTGAATTCAGCTGGGCCCTGATATGTATAGCGCAACCAGAGGAGCAACTGTGTTAGAAGTCTTTGTGCAGGGTGTTGTTTATCAGTTGTTTTTTTCTTCTCGAGGACCAGAACCTTAAGTAATAGGTGAGTGTGCTCGCTCCAGATCTTTGTGTATCACTGTCTATAGAATTTTTTTATTTGGGGTTTTATTATGGCATAAGTACAATTCATTTTACGTATATAACTGTAAAGACATACAATGGTATTTTCATACGAATCTGCTATAAGAAGTTTGATTAACATTAAAAAGAGAAGCTATACTTCTTAAAACATCTCTTTAAAAATTATATTCATCATGGGAAATAAATATGTAGAACTGTAGATGATATAATTCTTTTTAGTTTTACATAACCTTTTAAAAAGCATTATAACATAAAAGATTGTAGCATTTAGATTAAGTGATTTTTTTCCCCATAATAAAATATGGAGAAGATTTACTATAACACATTTAACAGAACAGTGCCCTGCAGTTATTGCCTAAGCCTTCCTGGATCCTTTTGACGCAGCGTGACTGCCCTCTTCAGGCTGCATAAGTATATATTAGAATTTATGGCGTTCACTACATTCATGAAGTTAGGCCTTTACTATTACTATGAACTACTACAACAAAATATTTTTCAGTTAATAGTGTTGGAAATGTAGTCATTTTAGTTAAGTGCTTGGAGTATTTGTGGATTTTAACTTGCCATTTCAGATGGTAGTGAGGTCAGAAGTGTGCTAATAAGCTTTCGTAATGTCTCATTTTGCTCATCAGTCCAAGCTGACAGAAACATATTCAAGGATCCTCTGAATTTCTTTATCTGTCATTAGTTAGGTTTTCTCTGTCCCCTATTAAACGTTAAGAAGTTGGGATATGGAGGGCGCATAAGGGATAATGGGGGTAAGTATGCATAGGGTCTTTGTTATTGGGGCACATTTTTTTTTTCTAATGAATCTTTTGTACTCTGAAGAGATATCATTAATATTAAAATACGTATTCCTCGGGCTCATTTATTTATTTTTAATGATATACAGATCTGTTTACTGACCCTGTTTCTACTGAATTACACTCAGCAGAAAAAAGCCCCCATTTGCCTTGTCATTATTAAATTTTCCCCAAGTATTGTATTTGAGTCAAGAAAATGTGATTTGCTTTAGCTTCTGTGGAATTCTTTATTCTAGCCAGAGCTATCCCTAAGTATATTGTCTACAAAATTTTGCTGGATGTTATGGCTTGCCAGGTTGCAATGGAGAATTTATGTGAAATAGGTCACATCTTCATTTACATAATATTTTAATAGTCTCATATGTTTTCCCAGCCAGACCATTAGAGTAACATTGAAAGTGGGTTCCAAACCTTCATTTTCTTCTCCTCCAATATATCATGCATATTGTTGTGAGATACAGCATTCTCAAATAGTATTTTGCATAATCTACTTACTTCAGAAACACTTGTTTACTATTTACACAATAAAAGCTGGGTCCTATTTATGTTTCTACCACTTCCAGAGTTTATTTTCTACCCTGAAGCTTACATTCTATTACTTGAACACAGAATACACATTCCAGACAGGGTAGTCTTTGTTTATACTGTTTCTATTACCTTACTTTTCTCTCCCTGTCCTTGCTTGTTGTAAGTGCAGTCCTTCCAGACATACCACCATTATTTTCCAATTTTTTTTTACATTCATACTTTGTCGAACTGTTCCAGCTCACTATTATCTCATCCTCTGTATGCTGTATAGCACCTACAGTCTACATTCCTCTTTAAAATATGTATACCTTATTTATGTACTAGAGTGCTTATCTATTCTTTAACCTCTTAAAAGTGGAGACTGTGAGGTATACTTCTTTATTATTGCAGTACATATGAAAATGTTGAGTATAAATTTCACTGATGATTAAGATCTGGATTCAACATTTGTTATGAAATTGTCATTACTAATAGGATATCACATGATGATTTAGTCATTGTAACCTTTGAGTCATGAACACTATTCCTTTGACAAACAGCATATGTTTGTGATAGTACACAGATGTAAAATTTCATTTTTTCTTCCCCTCAACACCATAACTAAAGTAAAGGAAATCTGCCTTAAAAGAGACATTATCCAGTGACATAAATCTGACTAAATGAGTTGTAGACTCTCTAGAATTCAGAAATTCTAATGTGGTAAACTTAGCTTAAGGGTATTTATGATATAGTGGCTGGCTATGAAACTATATTATTCATCATCAGTATCATTATACCTTTATTAAATGCCACTTCTGTACTAGATCCTAGCCATTGGACAATCAATATGTAATAAGAACAGCTATGCATAAAATCAGTAGTGCTACACAGTCGCTGAGAATTTCTGTTTCAGACATTTCCATCAGCAAGCATTGTAAGTATAGTGATTTGAAGTGACTTCCTAAAGAGAGGCAGTTTTTGAGCAAGCTTCTGAAAGAAGGGAGGACATTCTAAGTGAAGTATTTCATGCACGTGGTTAAGAATGGACATAGTATGTTCGTGAAACACAGACTATTTGAGTGTGGTATTTTTATAAAGACATAGATTATGTAAGTTGTGGCCAAGTTATGGAGGTTTTTGACTTTTATTCTTCCCATTATCTTCATTATGTACGTAGTGGGGAACATTTTTGGACTTTAGAATAGAGGCTAGAATCTACAAATTGGTTATTGGGACATTAAATCTGAAAAAGTAGAGTAATATGGAATACAGAGTTTGAAGGCAAATTGAATTCATGCTCTTTGACTCCCCATTACTTTATCACTTTTTATTTTTTAATTTTTTTAAATTACATTTTAGTATTCAATACTTGTATTATGTTAAAAGTTTTTAGATTATAGTACTGTTCATATTTAACCCTCTTAAAACATAATATTTTAATCAAAACAATGTTATGTGCTTCTTGTTTATAAAAAAGAACTGCAGAAGAGGCCCTTGCACTCATCTGATTTGCACACAGGTAGGCTAGGCCAGAGATGATCCTACCAGAGAATGTTTCTGCTTTGTAATTTTTTTCTTCTGTTGTTTTTAAAAAATAGCTGTAAATGTTATTCTTGTAACAACATTTTATACAGTAAACTTATCTTTACATTCTTGTTATGATAGGTATAGATTTAACTCATCTCACCTTTCATTGCTTTTTGTTTATTCTTTTGTTTATCACTGTAACACTAAATAACATCTTTGTGTTTTTTGTTCATTACCTATGGCTGATGTTTTTTGATTCCCGCATTGTGATATGAAGATGAGCAGACATCTTCTTCCCCATCACCTCTTCTTCTTCTCTTTTACATACCAAATTCTGTTGGCTATCGTTCTATATTGTCATAGTTCATAATATGTACATTCCATACTGTAACCATAATTATTACATTTGAGTTCTGTTTATAGGTTGATTTAGAAAGTTAAAAGGGAATAAACAGCATTTACATTATTATTTCTGCATAAGTAGCATCAATGGCAAAGTAGTAGGTTATCATTATGATTCCTTTTCTACAGTGCCATTGTTGATAACCCCTGACCCGCTCAAAAGAATATATTTAAATAATCTTTCTAATCACCAGTTCATCAAAATTATGATACATTTTAATAAGCTGCATATTTGAACCTTGTCTCTTATGTTCATTTTTTTGTTTTTATTTTTCCTGTTGGAATAAATACGGTTTTCTTACTATAGATTTAATATGTTCTAGCTGTTTCTGATTTTAATGATTACTTAGAATCTATTCTTTTCATCTCGAAGTCTAAAATTCCTGTTCTAGTTTGTATTGGTTGCATCATAGCTTCACAGACTACAGCTTCTTTACGTCTTCTCTCCGTGCTACCTCACTCACTGCATTTCTAGTTGCCTTTTTTCCTCTCTTACAGTGCTCTATCATAGTCTTAAGTTTTCTTAGTTTTTCATTCACACTACCTTTTCTATCAGTTATATTTTAAGGTAATTTTCTGAGAATTTGGGGTCTAATTTCAGATTCCTTACATTTCCATGAACATGTTTATTTCAAACTTGATTATTTGTCTCAACGTGCAATTTTAAATAGAAAATAATATTCTGAAGGAATTCTTCTATTTGTCGGTATCTAGTGTTGCTAATGATCAGTCCATTCCCAATCTCATTGATTGCACTTGTTTAGGAAACTTTTTTCTCTGAGAACTTTTAGGATCTTCTTTTTATCCATAGTGTTTTGATATATCCCAGTATCTCTCCAGGTTGTTCTTTTCTCATTCCTCTTATTCAGAACTGGGAAATGATTTTAATTTGAAGACTTAATCTCCTTTAATTGTATTGTTTACAGAAATACCATTTTCTCTGTTTCACCTCTCCTCTATTTCTGTGATGCCTGTTTGAAAAAGGACTTACTGGACTCTAGGTCCTTCTCATTCTGTCATACATTCCACCTATGTTGTTTTTGTTCTGTGAATTTTATTCGACTCTGTCTTCTAACATTGGTGTTTTATTTGGGCAGTCATATTCGAAATCTATATAAGTGCTCTCTCTTTTACTATCTTTATTCCTTTTTTATATGATATTGTTTTTGTTTTTTCCTTCCGTGAATACCCATGAACAAAGCAGTCTGCATGTTCTCACTGGGTATGTCGAGAATACAAAGGCCTGACTAGACGCGGGCAGACTCTGAGGGTTGTATGTGCAGTGACAAGCCTTAAAGAATAAGACGTTGGCTGGGCGCAGTGGCTCACGCCTGTAATCCCAGCACTTTGAGAGGCTGAGGCGGGCGGATCACGAGGTCAGGAGATCGAGACCATCCTGGCTAAGACGGTGAAACCCTGTTTCTACTAAAAATACAAAAAATTATCTGGGCGAGGTGGCACACGCCTGTAGTCCCAGCTACTCGGGAGGCTGAGGCAGGAGAATGGCGTCAACCCAGGAGGCGGAGCTTGCAGTGAGCCGAGATCGCGCCGTTGCACTCCAGCCTGGGTGACAGAGCAAGACTCTGTGTCAAAAAAAAAAAAAAAAAAAAAAAAAAAAAAAGACATCTCCTGTTGAACAAAGCATCATCTTGTTATCACGTACCATAAAAACAATAATTCCTTTAAACCCGGTGTTTCTCTCCTGTAACAGTCACCTGTATGTGCAGGAGTCCATGAAGAGCCCTTTGTGTTACCGTGTGAGACTTGGGGGATAGAGAACTAATGAAAATGAAAATGAACTAATAAAGTCCCTTTTCTCTGACCCAGGAGTCTCATGTCTTCTGCCAGCATCCATGAAACAGTAACAGGCTAGGTCGTTAGCTTGCATTATATATGTGGTAAAATCTCAGATCCTGCACAGTTCTTGATAAATACAATATCTTTTCTGACAGAATTTTTATAAGTATGTTAGTTACAGTTACACTTCCATTTTCATGTTTTCTGATCGTTCTTTTAGAGTCTGTTTGTTTTGGGAAGTTTTTAAGAAATCACATAAGGTTTTCCTCAAATACATGTTTTTTTTCGTTGCGGTGGGGATGAAGGCTAACATTGGGACTGGTTCGGGAGGGTGCAGAAGTTTGGTCTACTATTGAGTATTAAGAAGTTTAGCCGGGCGCGGTGGCTCACGCCTGTAATCCCAGCACTTTGGGAGGCCGAGGCGGGCAGATCACGAGGTCAGGAGATCGAGACCATCCTGGCTAACACGGTGAAACCCCGTCTCTACTAAAAATAGAAAAAATTAGCCGGGCTTGGTGGCGGGCGCCTGTAGTCCCAGCTGCTTGGGAGGCTGAGGCAGGAGAATGGCATGATCCTGGGAGGCGGAGCTTGCAGTGAGCCGAGATCGCGCCACTGCACTCCAGCCTGGGCGACAGAGCAAGACTCCGTCTCAAAAGAAAAAAAAAAAAAAAAGTTTAATTATGACATCTGTTTTTAGCTTCATGTTTTTTTTAAATCTCCAGCCTCTGCTGCTTCTGAATCTAATGTTTTTCTAGCTTCTTATTGCACTGCAATCTCCTTTGAGAGTCTAACTTCCTCTCAAAACTTTTCACCAGCTTTCTGTTTTTCAGATATTTGTGGAACTCTTTCTGCTGCTGACTCTGCTCCAAGTCCTTTTGTTATTGTTAGGTTGTACCTTTTTATTTCTTTATTTTCATTTTGGGGAGAGGGGGGAGATAAACTCTAGAGAACAGTCAACCATACTGAAGAAGCAATTTTATTTTTTAAAAATGTTTTAGCAATAACTTGTTGCTTCTTATTTCTATTACTGCATTTACATCCTCCTATAAATGCCATTTTTCTGTTTCTTCTCTGTTCCTACATAAAGTTTTATCATCTGGAAAATTAGCAAAATATCTAATAAAAATGTGTTCAAAGTAGAAACAAATATCATCTTAGAGAAGGAATGTTTGTGGCATCTGGTTTAGCTACAAAGAGAAATCTTTGCTTACTGTTGGTTTGAATGTAAATGCATTTTGAGATAAATGGAATGAATAAGGTGGAGTATAAGTATTTAAAATTTTAAAACTATTAATTTTGTTTTTCTGTTAAACTAAGTTGCAAATATTCTTAAAAATTGGTCTTTGCATTTTACTAAACATTATTGGAATATTTAATTTATGTGTATAGGGAATGCTGCAAAATGTTTTTATTCCCTAGAGTAAGAGTTGGCAAAATTTTTATTTAAAGGGCTAGGCTTTGTGATACATGTAGTTGCTGTCTTGTTGTTACAACTTTGCCCTTATAGCACATAAGCAATATGTAAATGAATAAATGTGGCTGTGTCGCAATAAAACTGTAGTTATGAACATCAGAATTTGAATTTTATGTAATTTTCATGTCAGAGAATCCTTTTTTTAAAAAAAAATATTTTAAAAACTATGCTTTTCTTACAGTCTGTACAAAAACTGGCCAGTGCTTGTCCTAGGGTTGTCTGTTTTAATAACTGCTTTGTAGATGCTTCAGTACTGATGTGTTTCTACTATGGCCCATTATTCTTATCAGGCAAGCTAATGAAGAATATCAAATACTGGCGAACTCCTGGCGCTATTCATCTGCTTTTTGTAACAAGCTCTTCTTCAGTATGGTGGACTATGATGAGGGGACAGACGTTTTTCAGCAGGTAAAGAGTTATATCGTATTCATATATTTAACATAGTTGTTTGTGGTCGATACATTTTTGTTTGTCACATAAAAATACAATTCATTCATCGTCTGAACCTGGGAGGCGGAGGTTGCAGTGAGCCGAGATTGTGCCACTGCATTCCAGGTGGAGGACAGAGCAAGACTTTTACACACACACACACACACACACACACACACACACACACAAATACAATTCATTCAATAGGTTAGTAAATACAATAAGTAGTTATAATACATTTTGTGATGTGATTAACATAATTATGGCTAAACTTATTTTTATCATTGTACAGGTTTTTGCCATTATGATAAATTCATTTTAACTTTTGCAACATAGAGGAAATGTGTTTTTTCAGCATGCAGTCGCAGTTTACATGCATTGGTCTTATTCTGGCATTTAATTATAGGTGGTAGTGTATTATAGATAGTATTTTGCACAGATTTGTGACATTTTATATAAAATTTATTGCAAGTTTTACTTAACTGTTATTTTTTCCAATGTGGCAGATAGTATTTTACATATAGAGGATTAAATATTTATTGACAAGTATTTTCTCTCTGTTTATGGACTGAATTGTATTTCCCCAAATTCATAAGTTGAAGCCATAGCTTCTGGCGTGACTGTATTTGAAGATAGGGCCTTGAAGGAAGTAATTAAGGTTAAATGAGGCCATAAAGGTGGAACCCTAGTCCAAAGGGACTGATGTCCATATAAGACGAGGAATCGGGAGCAGGAGTGCATGTGCAGAGAGAAAAGGGGCATGTTAGAACACAGCGAGAAGATGGTCACAGGCCAGGAAGAGGAGCCTCACCCGAAACCAACTCTGCCGGCACCTTCCTCTTGGACTTTGAGTCTTCAGAACTGTGAAAAATAAATTTCTGTTGGTTAGGTCACCTACTCTGGAATTTTCTGTTCTAGCAACTCAAGCAAACTAATAAGCTTATTTACCCAGTATTCTCTATAGAGCAAGGTATTAGACTTGCGATTGGAACACTCATTATCATCGATGTTGTCATGGTTGTATCATCATCATTGTTGACATCGAGAGCTTATGTCCAGGCACTGTTCAACTTATGTATTATTTCATCTAGCTTCACAGTGAGAGAAATGTTGTTACTGGCTCCATTTCATAGGTGAGGAAATAAGGAATGCAGAAATTGTTGCTTGTCCAAGGTCACAAAGTTAGTGTAATGTGTAACTAGAATTTGAACTCAACTGTGTGGCTCCCAGAGCCCTAGCCTTAATCATGCTGTTACCCTGCAGTTCATTATTATTTTTTAAAATGTTTTTACTATGTGATCAATCTATTTAAAATGCAAAACTTAGTGCAGTTCCGGGGTTGATCTTTTCGGGTATCTTGGTCTATCTCACATGTGATACTCTTTGGTATAATGCTTACCAGGTCATGGAAAAGCATGCAGTTCTGTAAAGAATCTAGCCTACTAATTGTATATCACCATTAGTGAACATTTTTACTTATTTGCATCCAGATTATTTCTTCTTGCCAGTTTCTAGTTAAATAAATTCTCTCTTTTTGCCTTCAACATTCTTTTTCTGTTAGTGTTCTTCACTTATTTCCTCCAAATTTATTTTGCCTTTTTAGGATATTTCTTTATATTCATCTATTCAGCAAATAGTTTTGCTCCTATGGTACCTATTCTATAGGAGCAATAAATTTGGCAAGAAAAACATACATAGTTCTCCTCTATAAGCAGCTTACAGATTAGGGAGCTAATGATAATAGTAATAATAGTATCATAATAAAACATATAAATATGTAATTTCAAATAACCTAATAAAGGAAAATTAGAGTACTGTAAGAACCAAATATTATTTCATATAAGTAATAGATCTCTATAGAATCTCAGGATAATTGGCCTTAGAGATCATCAGATAGAAGTGCTATTCAATGTATACTTGAATCCTCTCTATCATATTGGCAAACAGTCTTCTAGATCCAACAAGACTGCTAGAGCACAGTCTTGAGGCCCAAATATCTTACATGACTAGACTTGTGGACTAAATGAAGACAGGGAGTTGGGTTAGTTTAGTTTCATTGTATCTTTGTTATGCTGTTTTTGTTGATAATACATTATCTGTTTTGTTACGATACCTGATGTACTAAGTACATACTTAGTGTATTAAACATCTTATTTACTTTTACAAATATGCCTTCTCCTATTTTTATTAAAACAATGCCTTTCTTGGTATGTCTTTTTAAAAATCCTTAACAGAAACACTCATTTTTCACTTTTTCAAAATACTTTTATTTCTTTACTACTGTAAGAAACAAAATTGCCAGAACACCATGCATCTGATCCTTGGTGTCATTGTTGAGGAAGCAGTATGGTGTGGGTGGGGACTACAGCAGATTGGAGAGAGGATTTGCTTGACCTCAGTGGGAGAGGCGCAGCTCAGCATCAGCTCTGTAGAAGAAATGTAGGCCACATGTAGCTAGATCTCTCTCAAGAAAAGACCTAAATAAAAATTTTTATATGAAATTTCTCTCTTTAAAATGTTGGCAGTTAATTCATATTTTTTTTTAAAATCTTCTGTGATATTATTATCTTTGTGTTGAGTACTGAATGTAGGCTGCTGGTATATAATCATATAAATAAATGGTTACATATAATCATTAAATTCTTTTGTATGCTTTAGACATAATTATTCTAAAGTTTGGCGTATAAGAGTTGAAGTCAGTTGTTTTTAATTGAAACATTTTCTCAGGTTAATTTTGATTCAGCAGGAATCCTGGTGTAGAACTGCCTTGTCTTTCCCAAAATCTAGTCCTTGGCTTAGCAACAAGAGTTTTCATTTTAAAATGCAGAAATGTGTAAAAGTTATAGCAGTTAATGAGTTTTATGAGGAATTTTAATCTACAGAAGTGGAGAAGTATATGTTTTGCTTCACTTGAGAAACACTAAAAGGTTTTTAATGCTTATTTTTTAACTGACTATTAAATCATATTTTGCTGAAGTACTGTCTCTGAATTGATGTTTTAAAGCACTGTTAGCAGTAATGTGGTGTCTGAAGATAATATTAATAACAAGTGCAGAAACTTGGTAATTTCTAGCTTGTTGGGGACTCACTGGGGAAGTAACTTCAATTATATGTGATTCCCATAGGAATGGCTGAGGCTAGGTATCTGATGATAGGCTAGTGGGTTAATGAATATGGTGTGTTAGAAGGAGCTCTCATCCAGGAAACAGGTCTATGTTGTGCTCTGCTGTGGGTAGCCCTGGGGAATTGGGCATTTTAATTAAGAAAAAAGACTGAATTCTATGAGTTTTTAAGAACCTCTAAAGTTTTAGAACATTAGGTCTTAGTATGGATTTTCCTATAGTTTTCATGTGGGGAGTGAGGAAGATGGGGACTTTCAGCTTTATAATTTTGTATTTACATGGTTGCTATAGACGTCTCTCATATATCCATGAGAGAAACAAACATGAACAAAGTATGGAATGGGAGAAGCACAGGGAAGAAAGGAACTGGTAACTGTGTGCTTTGTTCAGTTTAAGGAACGTTGCTAAATGTCCATTACATGGAAGCCCACTGCTGGGAGAATGGAATAAGATAGACTCCTGATGTACAGGGCCATATCACACTTATTAGATACATTAGAGATATATTTTTTATATATGTTATATATACATGTTGTATGTTATAATCTGTATGATGTTTACACTGCATTGCAGGAGCTTGTGTTTACAAATCAGTCTTCTAATGAACTTATTAAAAAAGGTTTATGAAAATAATATTGTTAAAGCCCTGCAAACGTGGTGAAACCCCCATCTCTACTAAAAATACAAAAATTAGCCAGGTGTGATGGCACATGTCTGTAATCCCAGCTACTGGGGAGGCTGAGGCAGGAGAATTGCTTGAACCCAGGATATTGAGGTTGCAGTGAGCCGAGATCGTGCCATTGCCCTCCAGCCTGGGTGACACAGCAAGACTCCATCTCAAAAAAAATAATAATAAATAAAATAGTTTTCATTAAATGGAGATAGAGTTCAGAAGGTATTATGATATCCTGGTAATGAAGTGTCTAGAGTCAGAAAACCTGAGTTCATCTTCCATCTTTACTTCTTCATTGCTGTGTGACCTTTGGTAAATCACTTTATTTTTATATGCCTCTACTCATCTGTAAGAGAGGGAAAATAATAGTACCTTTCTCATAAAACTGTTGGGAAGATTAAAATAAGATGTTAGCTTTAGAGTAGGTAGCTATGCAGACATGAGCAGGGCAGGAGAGGGTCCCTCACCCCAGGATGTCAGGTGACCATCATGTGATGATCAGGTGGTTGTTAAACTGTCTTGCTAAAATAATAATTGGTTGCAGCTGGCTGCTAGGAAAGGCAGTCTCCCAGTAAATAGAAAACACCTGAAGATGGTGATTAGCAGCTTCCTGCTAAGATCTTAGGACTTAAGTGAGTAGGCTCAAGCATGCGCACCAAGAGACAAAATGGCGGTGTTTAACTGTAATATGACCTTCCTCGCGGAACACTCCACTAGTAAGGGAAAAATGCCTCAAATGAGCATGTGCACAACTTCAGTAAACACACTGTGCATACGGCCCCTCCCAAGTGCTGGCAAGCCACTGTGCAGGCACATAGCCCACCCAAAGGGAAAAATCAAGGGGGAAGAGACAAACCCTGGGGTCATGCCAGTGTATGAAACTCCAAGTCAAAGTCCGAACAGTGCACTTTGATGTCTCGAAGTTGCCCACCTGGCCTTCCTCCAAGTGCACTTCCTTCTATTCCTGCTCCAAAACTTTTAAATAAACGTCACTCCTGCTCTAAAACTTGCCTCAGTCTCTAACTCTGCTTTATAACCCTCAGATGAATTCTTTCCTTTGAGGAGCCAAGAATCAAGTTGCTGCAGACCTCCAGGGATTCACCACTGCTAACACTAATATATGTAGCTGTTTAGCTCTATTCCTGATGGATAAATATATGCTAAATAGTTCTTATTACTATTACATAACATTAGCAGTAATACTGGTGTGTAGCCTTCCTTCTTCCCCAAACCACCTTATTTTTGCATAAGTTGGTTAAATCTAAATTCTGTAGAAATAATTAAAAGTTGTGGTAAAGGAATGAAGAGAAAGGAAAGAAACGATGAAAAGATTACCTAGGAATCCCTTTGGAAGGGCTAACTGCTTAACCATTGTCTTAGTTCATTTTGTTCTGCTACAACAGAATACCTGAGACTGGCTAATTTATTCAACAGGAGTTTGTGGGGTGGGCAGAGGCAGAATATGATGGTTTGAATATTTTGCATTCAAACAATGAGTAAAAAACATTCAAACCATCATATTCTGCCCCTAACCCTACCAAACTCATGTCTTTCTCACACTCAGAATACATTCATTTTGTCCCAATACTGCCAAAAGTCTGAACTCATTCTAGTACCAACTCAAAATTCCAAAGTCCAAAGTCTTAACAAAATCAGATATAGATGAGACTCAGGACATGATTCATCCTGAGGCAAATTCCCCTCCAGCTGTGTATCTGAAATCAAACAAATTAACTACTTCTAAAATAAAATGGTAGAACAGGCATTGAATAGACATTCCCTTCCAAAAGGGAGAAATAGGCAAGAAAAGAAAAAGGGGTAACTGGCTCCAAGTAAGTCCAAAAACTGACTGGGAAAACAGTATTACATCTGAAAGCTGGAGATTATTTTTTTTCATTCCACGTCCCATCATCTGGGCACACTGGGGCAAAGGTTGAACCCTCAAGGCCTTGGGCAGCCCCACCCACCTCTATAGCTTTGCCAGGCCCAAGCCCACGCAACAGCTCTCCCAGGCCCAAGCCCACGCAACAGCTCTCCCAGGCTGGTGTTGCATGCTGTTGGCTCTGTAGTTTGGGATTTCAGCAGAGGCCCTGCTGCTGTAGATCCACTAAGGGGGATTCTTTACAATGGCTCTGCCTCTGCAACAAGTCTTTATCAGGACTCTTGGGCTCTCCACAAAGTCATTTGAAATTTAGGTGAAGGAAGACATACCTCCTCAGCTCTTACATTCTGGGCACGTGCAGAGCTAGTGCCCAGAATGCTGCCAAGGCTCATGGCTTGCACCCTCCAGAGTAGTGGGTTGAGCAACACTTGAGCCTACTTGATCCTTGGTGAGGGCAGCTGAGGAGCACTACAGCAGTATGCAGGGAGTGGACACCCCAAGTGGCTCTGAACAGTGAGCTTTGACGTCCCATAGATACCCCAGGTTTTCCCCCAAAGAGCTCTGAAATGCCTTCAGGGTCTTTCTCCCATTTTCTTGATGAGTAATACCTGGCTTCCTTTCCATCTCTGCTAATCTCCTTATAAATAGTCCTTAGGCCACATTCTTCATATTCTCTCCTGAACATGTTTTTTATTGTTTACATAGCCAGGCTGAGAGTTTTCCAAATCTTTATGTTTTGCTTCCCTTTTAATTATAAATTGTGTCTTTAAATCATTTTTTGTCTTCTATTTTATTATATGCATTTAAAGTAAGCCATACTGCATCCAGAATGTTTTGCTGCTTAGATATCTCTTCTGCCAGATATCCTCGTTGATTGCTTTTAAGTTCTGCATTCTATAAAGTCCTAGGACACAGACACACTTCAGCTAAGTTCTTTGCAGTTTGTAAGAAGGATGGTCTTTTTTTCCAGATTTCAATACCTGTTTCTCATTTCCGTCTGAGACCTCATCAGAATGGCTTTTACTGTCCATATTTCTTACCAGCATTCTGATCATAACCACTTAAATAAGAAGTTGTAGACTTTCCTTGCACCTCCCCTCTTCTTCTGAGCCCTCTCTAGAATCACCCTCAGTGCTCCGTTTATGGCAATCTAGGCTTTTTCTAGTATGCTCTTCCAGATTCTTTCAGTCTCTACCCATTATCTGGTTCCAAAACCATTTCACCTTTCCAGGTATTTGTTGTAGCAGCACCCAGTGCCTCTGAGACCAGTGTTTGTCTTAGTCCATTTTGGGCTGCTGTAACGGAATACCTGAGACTGGATAAGTATAATGAACAGATATTTGTTTCCCATAGTGCTAGAGGCTGAAAGTCCAATATTTAAATATTTACCTGCCGGCGTCTTGCCAGGCACTTCTTGCTGCATCATCACATGGCATGAGGGGACAGTGTGAGAGAGAATCAAGAGCAGGCTCAACTTGCACTTTTATAATAGCACTCATCCCACCCATGAGAGTGGAGCCCTCATAGCCTAATCACCTCCTAAAGCTTCCACGTCTTAATATTGCTACAGTGGCAATTAGATTTTCAACATGAGTTTTGGCGGGGACAAACATTCAAACCATAGCAAACATGGACCAACTCTTAATCTTTAGCAGTAGTGTTTGAAGAGCACTAATGTAGATAACATGGAGGTAAATAATGGAAATTTGATTGCATTTGCAGTACTAAAAATGAGAAATTTTTGATATAGAGCCATTTCTTTTGGGTATTCAGCTTGTTTGTGCTAAGTTGTGTGAAGCTCTGTAAAATGATTTGGAGCTGTCTTGTAAATAATGACTGCTGTAGTCAGAGTTCATTTGTAGGGCAAGACCTGTTTTGGTCTTGACTGTACTTGGTTATTAAACTTTGTTGTTATGGGCAGCTAAGCTTTTACTGTTGTATCGTTTGCTTGATATCAACTGTGATCTAATGTATATTTATATATTGATTTTTGTTTTCATTATTAGAAAATACTGAACTGTACTGCAAGTCAAGGGCTGAAAAATCTCTTGGCCTTTCATTTTAAAACTTTTTTTTATAATTCCTGGGCAACAGAAATTTAATTCGTGTATATATACACATATATATACACACACACACACACACACAAATACAATATATATACACATACAATATATATACACATACAATATATATACACATATATACAAATATATATATTTGTAGTTTATTGCTTACTGCAAATTAACCTAATATATGTTTTTAGATATTGTTAAATAAGCACCGTTTATACGAGGGTAGTGTTCTGTTTAGTATACTTTTCAAATGGAAATTACCTGTAGAAAATATTTCTGAAATATAATCAATTTAACACAGTTGAGTTAATAGAGCAGTTGAGCAGAAAAAGTGTTATTTGAGGATTTCTTCTTCATTCTCTGGTAAATTTAACTTGTTAAGAGCAGAAATGTTGGTTTCTCTTTCATAGTCTTCATCATTACAAAAAAGTAAAGTCTTTACATTTGTAATAGGGAATTCAATCTACTTATAACTTGTTGGAAATTAATTCCATAATATGCTTATTTTTTAAAAACAAATTCCAGTACTTTTTAAAAATAACTGCTTAAGAAGTAAAATAATTCATGTACTGCCAAACTGCTATATTTCTACTTTGCACTTTCAGTCACTTTTTTTTACCCTAATTATAGAATTCAAGAAAGAAAAAGAACGAAATGACTTACAAAATATACAGAACATAATGCATAATTTGAATGATGTATGTTAAATGTGAAGATTCAGATAACTTAGTCAGATTTACATGTTCTTTTTCATCCAGTAGTGAATTAAGACAAATAAAAACAGAAATTTACCTCTGGAAAACCACTTGGATTTTCATAATAAATGCTGTTTTCCCCGAATTTCTACAGAAAAAGTGTAAAATATTGGATTAATGATAAGATGATCCTATATTTAGTATTTTTTTCTCATGTTTTACAGCTCAACATGAACTCTGCTCCTACATTCATGCATTTTCCTCCAAAAGGCAGACCTAAGAGAGCTGATACTTTTGACCTCCAAAGAATTGGATTTGCAGCTGAGCAACTAGCAAAGTGGATTGCTGACAGAACGGATGTTCATGTATGTTTTTATTCCTCACAGTTTTAATAATAGGCTGGTTAGTTTGTTTTTATGGAGCATTTTAATAAGGCCACAGTAATACTTTTTAATTTCTCTATGGTTGTTTCTCCTTGCATAGAGAAAACTGTTCGATTACTGCAAATGATAAGTTGGACTATTAGCTGAATTCAGATGCTTTTTAAAATAGTGGTTCACTGATATTTTAAAAGCCATTAAAAATACAGGAGTTAAGCACAAGGTAATTTCAGAGGCTAAAAAACGTTTAAAACGTTTCAGTGGTAGTAATCAAGGAAATTCTAATTAAAAAGCAAGATATATAATTTTTAATCTATCTTTTGGTCAAACAGAAAAGGTTAATACCCACCTTAAAGCTACGTGGAAAAATGTCTACTCAGATTTACTGCTTTTGGGACTATAAATTGGTGTAACCATACTAATAGCATGTGTCATGTCTGTATGTAATTTAACTTAACAATTCCGCTTCTAGGAATTTAACCTAAGGATGCAATCAAGGATGATTTAAATTTTTATCCATAGAAATTTTGAAAATAATATTCATTTTATTGGGAAAAATTGAATATAAATCAAATGTCTAAAAATAAGAAAAAGTAAATATACTATGGCATAGCCAAAAAATGATTTACAAGAATATTTTACCTAGAATGAAGCTCAAGATGTAAAACATTTCAAAGTAGGTTAGAAAAATAGTATTAATTAATAGTATGATCTATTAGTTTTTTATAAAGTACAAATATGAGTATAGATTGACATAGACAATTTATTATGGAAGGAAATGAACCTAAATGGTGATGGTAGTTCATACTTACTTGGAGATTTTATGACCATTTTTTCTCTATTCTCACAACTACTTTTGACAGTAAACAATTGGAGCCAGTTATTTTAAAAGTACGTTCGTGCAGGCAGTAATACAGAAGCATTAATTTTTACTATAAGATATAAACACATTTGTTCTGAGTCAAGGTGGTAATTGCCCACATGGTACCACTGTCATTGTAAAATTATATCATTGGTTTTAATGACATTTTGGTGACTAAACTTATTTCCTAATTCTTATCATTTTTTAATGTTTTGGCAAATATTTTGTTATGCAATGTATCATTTAGTTGGTGCAAGACATTAAGAGTAATATTGAAAGGGTACTATTGTTTCCTTATAAGAAATACTAAATTTTAATCAGAACTTATTCTAACCTGTCTCCCTAGCAGACTTTACGCATTTAGTCGATAAACTTTTGTTAAAAAAAAAAAAAAAAACCCATAAAACTATATGTGGAAACAATTTCTAAAATGTTTTAGAAATGAAAACAGTACAAATAATGCCAATGTATACCCTTTATTTAGGTTCACCTATTGTTAACATTTTATTCCATCTGCTTTGTGATTATCATTCTCCCTGCTACCCCCATGTCTCTTTACCTCTCTCCACACATGCAGACACATATGCACAATTTTTTCTTTCTGAAAAAAATTAGGGTGAATTGCATTTTGAAAGAAATAAGCAAAGCAGTTATCAACTTCATAGGTTTACATTTACATAATACTTTTATTTGAGCTACCACTACCCATATTACAATTTTGTCAAGTAACCTAATACCCTTTACATTGTCCACCTTCAGTACAAGATTTGGTCTAGAGTTAGATATTTCATTTAATTGTCATGTCTTGTAAGCTTCTTTTAATCCGGAATATTTCTGTAGCCTGTCTTTTCTCTTTAAAAACATTGACACTTTGAAGAATATAGTCCTTTGCTACTTTTTAAATAGAGTGATCCTCATTTGATCTGCCTCATCTTTGTTCATGATTGACTTCTGCTCATGCATCCTTGAGTATAATATTACATAGGTCCTGTTTTGTTTTAATCACCTCTATAGGCACGTAATGTCCATCTGTCCTTCACTGGTGATACGAATTTCAAATATCTGATCAAGATGTTTCCCATTTTTTCATGGTATAATTACTGATTTTTGGTCCTCCTTTGTAATTAATAAGCTGTCTATGTGGATATAGTAAGTAGTAAAAGCTATACTATACTACAGTCTTCGTGTTTTAAAGGATACCGTCAAAAAAGTAGCACACAGAATGGGGGAAAATATTTGCAAATAATTTTTCTATAAGATACTTACAGCTAGTTTGTCTATATATATATATATACATGAGTCTTACAACTTAAAAAGAGAAAACCCAATTCAAAATGGGCAAAGGATCTGAATGGGCATTTCTTCATGGAAAATATAAAAATAGCTGATAAGCACATGAAAAGATGCTCAGCATTGTTAGTCATCAGGGAAGTGCAAAGTCGTTTTACATAGCCATTATGTCTTAAGGCATATATCTTATGGCAGAATGAAAGTAGTGCTAGTGTCACGTATGAAAAGTTGGGTGGCATGTTTCTGAGTTCTTTGCGTTGAAAATTATGAGGACTAGAATATGATCAAAAGAAAAATTTTATTTTTCTTTCATTTTTGAAATTTCTATTGCATTTTTGCAGATTCGGGTTTTCAGACCACCCAACTACTCTGGTACCATTGCTTTGGCCCTGTTAGTGTCGCTTGTTGGAGGTTTGCTTTATTTGAGAAGGAACAACTTGGAGTTCATCTATAACAAGACTGGTTGGGCCATGGTGTCTCTGGTATGTTAATACATTGTGCTTTTTTTATTTCCTGTTCTTTGTGTAATAATATAAGTTGTATAATATTAACAAAATGAGCCAGATATAACTATAATAGAACTTAAGTCTGAATGAGAAGTAACTTTTTAGAACTTGGATAATTTAGTTTGAGTTTTCTGTCAATCAAAACTGTGCTATCTTCCTTCAACTTTTCACTGCATGTACTGTCCCTCTGTACTTGGCACAAGTGCTAGATAAATACATGTTGAATACATCTAGAAATATGGTAAGACTTGATCAGAATTAATAGCTCAGAATAATTTGCAAATGGTTTGGAAATTCAGCTATTTCTGAATTTCTCATTCAGCTATTTCTTTTCTGACAACTGTTTCTTGTGTATCTTCTATGTGACTGATATATGTTAGATACTGGCGATATAAAGTTAAGAAATACACTCTGCCTGTGAGAAATGCATTGTGGGGATACAGAGTAATCAACAAATGGAGTGTAAGGTTATGTGTGCTATGACGGCAGTAAGTAACAGAGTATTACAGGAATGCACAGGAGAGAAACCTAACCTAGAGTAAAGGGAATCATGACAAGCTTCCCAGATTGTGACATGAGCTGAATTCTGTAGAAGAAAATGAAATTCTAAAGTCGTTAAGGCCAAGTATTCAACATAAGTGAAGCCTGGGATATTCAGAGAACTACAGTTGTGTGGGGCTACAGCAGTGATGGCAAGGTAGGAGGGGAAAGAGATGACAGTAGAGTTCAGCAGTTCCCAGCTCACAGCCAATAGCCGAAACTCATTAGGATTTTATACACAAAACAATTCAGTTATAATTGAAAATAAAATCTCTTTCACAATAGGAAGGGAAAATATAAGGTACTTAAAAATAAATCTAACAGAAAATGTATGAAATATTTATAAATAGAATGTTGAAATTGAGACTAGATACATATACATATATCTAGATAAATACATTATATATCTGTATATCTTATAGATAAGTATTGTCTGTAATATAATAAAAATGTTATTATATTAAAGATATAACTACATACAATGTATTATATCTGTAAAACATAACAGATTGTTTACAGCTAATTGTCAGTTTGTTTCTTTTGCTTTCTTGCAGTAGCCCTTCATCCTTCCCATTTTATTTTTACCAAAAAATTAGGGGTCTTGATGACTAAGTTGGAAGTGATAGGACAGACTGAGAAGCAGCCCAGGCAAGAGTCACCTTGAAGCAATTTCATTTTCTGCAGTAATACCTAGAGCTTAGAAATTCAGACAGAACCTCTGTGGCTTTCTAGTACATAGTCAAAATACAAATTAGATGTTTGGCCTTTTAAGAGCAAGGAAGATAAGATTTTTTTAAAGAAAGTTTCTTAATATTGTTTTCTCACTTTTGATGAATGAGTTAAAATGGATTAATTAATTGTACTGTATTTAAAGTTATTGGACACTATGGATGATCTTAATTACCTTAGTCATTAAGTTCAAAAGTGTTTTGGCTTTTTTCCATGCTAGTTTTCAAGTTGCTTAATTCAGTAAAGCTACCCAGGTTTCCTGGTAAAAATGCAGTACTTTCACTGTGTTGTTGCAAAATCAAAACTTCTTTGGTATTTAAGAGTTAATGTCATATCAAATCTTGTCACTATTTTAGTCTACCAAAAATTGATGTAGTCTCATCTCTGAATTACATTCAAATAACATTAACATCCTTACATTATTCTTATTCCTCAAGAAGAGCCCAGAATTATTGCATTGTAAGCTAGTAATAGTTGGCATTACTCTTTACTGATCTCTTTTTTCTTTGGGGTATGCTTCATAACTGTGCAAAGGAATTTATATTGTCCTCATTTATAAACAAGGAAACAAAGATTCAGTAATCTCAACTTGTAGAAGCTTACAAAGCTAGAATGTG
Source organism: Homo sapiens (assembly GCF_000001405.40). Taxonomy (NCBI): domain Eukaryota; kingdom Metazoa; phylum Chordata; class Mammalia; order Primates; family Hominidae; genus Homo; species Homo sapiens. The sequence continues at coordinate 15,664,207 of NC_000008.11, forward strand.
ATTGAACTGAGATTTGATCTCATTGATCTGATTGCAAGTTCTGTATTGTTTACACAAAGCTGGGCTTCTTTAAATCTGGACATGTGTCTTATATGTTGGTGATTCAACCCAGTAGATACAGTGAGCCCTTATGACTACAAATAAATTCATAGAAGAACTTTATATGATGTATAGATGTTAAATACTTCAGTTGATCAGTTTTCTTGAAAACCTCTGCTATGTTATACAGATTTATTATTATTATTATTATTATTATTATTATTATTATTATTATTTTGCTCTTTTACTGTGAATCTTGGAAAGCGAATTAACTTGGCATGGCAGAAGATAAATTCTAAGATACCTTGGCAGGTATGCCTGCTCCCCAATCACAGCCTTTTAGAAGTCAATAAAAGGCTGCAGAGAACAGACATGTTTTCAAACAGTGAGTTTGAAAACACTACACTGATAATATAATGTTAAATTCAACAACGTTTGTAATACTTTTCTGCATCTCTTGCAGTTTTTCTCATTAATACAGAGATACTTATGTTTGATGGCCTTTGGCAACTCCTTAAATCATTTAAAAAATGAGATTAAATATATAATATATAATTTACATTATATGTTTTATGTAAATAATTTGTATATATAATTTATGTTACACATATGTATATATAAATATATAAATTGGGTCTTCTTTATCATTTCTGCCTGATACCACCACCATTACCATCACCACCAAACTTGATTGTTGCTTATAAATTGAAAAACTGAATTTGTTCATATGTAATTTTTCGTATCCTACTTTTGAGATTTCCTTAGAAAGTTAAGAGACTGTCCAAAATGCTGACCTATTCATTCAGATTCTCAAACATTTGTCTGTTTAAAATAACTAATATCTCATTTTTCCTTGGAAGTAAGGAAAAAAATGTATATTTTTAAATTTGCCAAAATATTGTCATCTGACTTACACAAACTCTGATGAAAGCCTTTGACTGGACAGTAAAAGGAAAGCTCTTAAAATAAAACAGTAATGAACCTTGTAAGAGTAGACAACTTCCATAGAACAAAAAAATGTATACAAAGGGAGGAAAATGAATGAGAGAAATGTCTGGTACAGAATCTCTGGCCCCATGCTGACTTTTTAGTAAAGGACAAGTCTAGGTACAATTAGCAGTTGTGTCTTTTTATCACTGAACCTATACAAAAGTACTTCCAAGGAGAATTATTTAGTGTTGTGAACACTTAGTCCTGGGTAGACTGTATTTTAAGGCTCATATTTTTTTTGTCTTTTTTTTACTGTGTTATTTTATTGTATATGACTTAAAGGTAGGGTAAGAGAAGTGTATGCTGAGGGAGTGGAAGTTATATGTTTTAGGGTGTAGGATGGAGATAGAAAGGTTGCAATTTCCTGACATAGGAAATTAGTATATGTAAATATTAATATGTGGAAGTAATATATGCAAATATATTACTTTGCAATATATTTAAACAGTGAGATTAAATTTGCAGTATATTGCAATATATTGCAAAGTAATATATGTAAATATTAAAACATACATATACGTTAGAATTTCCTGGTTCTTAGTTTTAAAAAAGAGCTAAAGATATTCATAAGTAAATCTTCCTGGTCTCATGCTTTCTAAGGGGGAAAAATTTTTGTTAACTACTATTTATAGATACTGATGATTGTTCATGGAATAGAATATGTATCATTGATTGGTTCTGGTTCTGGTTTCACTCCCTTCTGTCTTCCCTCACCCCCTAAACACGGAGGATGGTGGACAATAAGCATATACATTACTTGCTTTATGATGAATTTAAAGTAGAATGATGGAGTAAAATATTGAAATACACTAGTACATAATTTCAAAAAGTGTAGCATAGATACGTAGTTTATGGTCTTGAGAAAACAATATTGACTTGGAACCAAAATGAGTTAAAATTGTATGTTTTGTAGCACATAATGAAGATCTTCATGGCAACCTAAAGGTCCTCATAGGTGACTGTCATTTCAAGCCAGAAAATATTAGTAGGATAAGCAATAACATTCATTTCAAATACAGGAAAATATCCTAAGGATATGCACTTAAAAGCATGAAAGATAAAGCATCATTAAAATAATGTAATAACCCAACCTTATTATCACAGTAAATCACCGTAGGATAGAAGCTGTTTTCTGCCTTTTAATACTGTGTATTGTAGGATGATTCATACACCTTCATGTTTCTTTTGCCCCAAATAAATTATGTCATTTTAATTAAATTTTTTGAAAATCTTCAACATTGGAGATTAGTATATGTCATTATACAGTATTTACATTCATGAAAGGTACTTTGGCATGTACACATTGTGATTTATCAGTAGAAATTTATTTCTTGTGACCATTCAAAGTTACAGATGGCTTTGAGTTCAAATGGGGGTAGAAAAGGGTCTTTTTTCATCCACATTTATTTGAATAAAATTATATAACTTTTAGTATATACATATAATCTTTATTTTTTTCTCTTTAAAAATGAGAAGCAAGTAATTTCTGATAATATTTTTTTCAATGAAATAATGTTGTTTTTGGATGGCCCCAGACAGTTCTGCTCATCAGGCAACTATGTCATTTGGCCATTTGGAGTTAGTTATGGTTTTTGCAAACAGGTATTTCTATGTATAGCCATTTGTGTAAAGAGTTAGGAAAACAGAAAATAAAATGAATTCGTATATTTTTAGGATATACTTAATATATCTAATTCTTAATTTTCTGTAGTAGGAGTAAGCAGTGGCCTCAAAAACTCAAAGTACATTTTAAAACTACTCATATATGGATAGATTTTAGCATTTGAATGTTCTTGGCTGAGTTTTTGCTTATCTTATTATAAAGTCACAATTGAATAAGACTCACTGTGAAGTTCCATACATGGATCTACTACACTTCATGCACGGCTCATCTCCTTAATCCAACTCAATAGTGGTTATAAATACTTGTTGAAATTGTTATCCTCAATGCATAATTTCCTTTCCATGGAATTAAAGACTTAGTCTTAAGCTTTTTGTTGTTGCTGTTGCTGAAATGACTGTAAAGATACGTCTTACCTTTCCTTTTTTTTGTAACTAAAGCAGTATATAGATTGAGTATAAATGAAAGAAATAATGATAGTATTTCTGTATAACACTGAAACCAAGTTTTAAAAAATGAACAATAAATAATTCACTTGTGAATAGTAGAAATGCAGTGTATAAATTCACTGATATGCATGTCTGCTGTTACTCTGCTGATTTATACCACCTGTTTATTAAGTAATGTCATTAAATTACTTATAACTTGAAAACATTTTTATATTTTAAAAACATGGAATATACAAAGGATTGTATAAAATGTGTATAGAATATTACATATTTTCTGCATAGTTAGCATTAAAATTTTCACTTTCACTAGCAGCTTATTTTCATATTCAGCTGATTAAGATACCTTCAAATTAACTCGTGGTCTTAATTAAATTTTGTTTTCAAAGCTGTATCAACTGCATAGTGGAAATCTATGAAATAATTATGAACCCAAAGTGTTGAAAGCATGTAATAGTTATTTTTCTTTTTTTAAATACAATGTGAAATGTTTTCCCCAAACCAAATCGCTTATGAAAGTTCGTTGTATAGAATAGTTAAAAGCAAAGTTGCTGTAGTTACAGTGGGCGTGAACATCTTGACCCTTTGGAAAACTATAGGATCTGAGCAGTTTGTTTTGAAAAACAAGGAAAATAGACGGTTAAAGGAGGATGCCTTGAGCCAATGGTGTTCTCAGCTCACCACAGGGCTATGGCAACCTCTAGATGTGAGAAAGATAACATGTGGTTATGTTCAGTTGTGTTTATTGAATGCTTGCCTGCTATATAAATGCTGAAAGTAAGTGTTCTCCCACTGCAGTGAGGTGGAAGGATTGGTATCTGTTTTGTACATGTAGCCACAGCATTTAGAATTGTGCCTGGCATGTAGAAAGTGTTTAGTAAATATTTGTTGAGTGAGTGAAAGTTACATGAATAAATAGGTTTAAGGACATTTTAAGACATGGTTGTTTTTTTTCACTGTTACTTATAGCATTGTAGGTCATGGCTGGGACTAGTACATTTTTTTTCTAGAAATCTTAACTTACATATTCACATATTGATCAGTCTTAGAATAGTGATTCTTTGTTTCAGTGCATTTACCTTTTCTATGTTTGTTCATGTTTATTCATTTGTTGACCATTCAACAAGAGTTTGAAAGCTACGTGTATCAAAATCTATGAAGAACCATGTGGAGATACAAAGATAAGACAAGTGAAAAAGACTAGCACGTGAGCCCTGCCCACAGGGACCTTACATGTGTAGTGAGGAAGGTAAATCAGATATGTATATCAGTAACATACAAATGCTTTGATGAACATATGTCCAAAATCTTGGTGTCCCAAGATGGTATTATTTGTGACTCTCAAAGAAAACACAAATGTCCAAAACAAAATACTTCCAAAAGGACTAGCTTTGAGGGTGTTCTTTGAATTAACTGCAACAAATATCTGAGTAGCTGTTTTATTCTTACTCTTTTCAGGATTATTGTCTAGTGTCACTTTTGTCCTGAAGCCAGAGTTCAAAAAGAACCATTTATGATGCTGTATGAAACTTTAGATACCTGAGTGTCTGGTTCTCTGGAGAAACAAAAAAATAAGCAGAGTTTTTGGTTAGAAACTTCACAAGTCTCGAGTCTCGGGATGTATGCTGGTGGTAAATGGATAAGTTTCCCAAGTGGAAAGCTTCTAAAAAGCAGAGTAGAGTATTTTGCAATCTTGTGAATTAGAAGTTACAATTTGGGACCCACTGGACTCTTATTGGAAAACCTTCAGTGGTTGAGATCAAATGTAGACAGAGCTTTGCCAGGGCCATATCCAGCCATGGCTCAGTACATTCCCCAATTAGATTAGGGTGATAACACATCACTATTAAGGTTGACAATATCAAGGAAGTTGAACAACTTTAAACCAGCAAACAAAACCAACACAAGAAGAATGAGAAAGTCTTCATACTCCAGTATGGATTGAATCCATTGCTGAAACAATTGAATCCAACATTGCTAAAACTTTCATTCCATGATGACTAACTCTTCTAAACAATTGAGACGGAATAATACTCACCTTAGGTAAACTTTTCTGTGAATAAAAAAAGAGGAAGTGCCTCTATTGTCTGAAGCAAGACTAACTTTGATTCTAAAATCTGACGGGGACATTTAAAAATAGAAAACTGATAGGCCAGTCTTTCTCATGGATATAGATGCATTTATTCTAAACAAAAAAATTACAGACAGTAATAAATAAAAATGGTAATACATTGTCAAGTTATTTCACTAATACAAGAATGGTTTACCATGTGAAAATTATCAGTGTAATTCTCTGTGCTAATAAACAAAAAAATATGATCATCTTTGATACATGCATATCAGCACTTAATAGGTTCAGTGTTTATGTGGGAATAAGAGAAAAAACAAAATAGAAGGGAATTTCCTTAATCTGATTAAAAAACATACAGTAAACATCATATTTGGCAACTTCCTAAAATTCCTGAGATAAGGAATAATACAAGATGCCTGCTCTTGAGTATTTTACTGGGACCCTGAGCATTGCATTAAGACCAAAACAAAAAACCCACACACATCCCGGTAAAAATAAAATTGCCCTCCTTAGCAGATGATTTGATTTTGTACATAGAAAAAAAAATTAGACCTAATTCGTAAATTGGGTAAGGTTAATGAATACATAGTAAATAATGATGATTCATGTCATAATGCATCATAAAAAAAGGAAGTTTTAAAAAAATCTATTGTCATAGCATCACAAAAAGTTTTGAATCAATCTAATAAAAGATATGCACACTGAAAACTGAAAAATCTATTCAAATAAATTTTTTAAAAACTTAAATGGCAGGTAAACCTGATAATGGATTGGTAGACTCAACGTTGTAAAGATACTCGTCTTGATCTTGAGTAGAATTTGTGCAGATTTTTTTCTGTGGAAATTGACAATGAGATTTTAGCAGAGGGTAATGAATAGAATAGTTGAGACAATATGAAGGAAGAATAATGCTGGAGAACTTACACTTACAGATATCAACATTTATTATAGATCTTTAATATTTATTCATTTCACATAAAGCCATCTGGAACAGAATCTATAGTCCAGAAACATACTCACACTTATAAAATCACTTGATTTGTAACGAAAGTGGCCTTGCAGTGCAGTGAGTAAGTATGGCATTTTTGATAAATATTGCCGAGCCAACTGGATATCCATATGGGAAAAAGATGAATTTCAACTTTTACCTCCCACCATACACAAGAGGAATCGTGAATCTAAAAGTAAAATGCGAACATTAGCACTTTTAGAAGAAAGCATGGATATGTATCTCCATAATTGGTGGGTGGGCAAAGATTTCTTAAAACAGAACATAAGAAGTGGTAACCATAATAGAAGAAATAATTGATAAACTGAACTACATTAAAATTAAGAACTTCTGTTTGTCAAAAACACCATTAATAAAATGAAAAGAAAGACAAGCCTCATGTTTGGTGAGGACTATTTGCCATGTGTATATTTAACAAAGAACTGGTACCCAGAAATATAAAGAATCTTGACAAAACAAGAATAAGACAGTGAAATTTTAAAAGAGGTAAATGACTTGCTGGGTACTTCACAAAAATGTCCAAATTTCAATTAATATATGAAAAGGTATTCAACCTTATTAATCAGGGAAATGCAAATAAAATGACAGTGTGACACTATCATACCTCTGCCAGAAGATCCAGAATGAACACACAGAGGCTCACAGCTAATACCAATAATTGGTAAAGATGGATATCAAGTGGATCTCTCGTGTACTGTTATTTGGAATATAAATTTTGTTCAACCTCCTGAGAAATGTGTTTGGTTTTATCTGCTAAAGCTGAGTATTTACATACTCTGTGATACAGAATTTTCAAGAAAATGTTTCTTACCTTGGGCAGGTTATGTAGATTATGATTAGGAAGAGACACAAGAGAGCTCCTGTCTTTCTGTTAGTGTGTTTTGTGAAAATTAATCTAGCTGTAACTATGAATCATGCCCTTTTTTGTATGAATATAGTTAAATAAAAATATTTTAGTCAAATTGATTGCAAAATTAAAACTTCCAGATTGCTGAAAGTAATGAAATGGTGACATATCAGTTGTTAACAACCAAAAAAGGATGCATCAGTTATGAGAATTTTGATAAACTGAAACCTAGGCTATTTTGCATTTTAGAAGTGCATGTTACTCAGTGTTTTGTTGTTTCTTATGAAAAGTGCCAGCGCTATGTGAGTAAATACATTTGCCACTACTTCAGATGATTCTGTGTATTATTCCAGGTTTGAACCTGGTTTTGTTTTATTAAACCATTTCCTGGAATCTTGATTAATTATGTATTAAGATGATTTTTTAAACTGGTGACATACCGTAAATAGTATTGTTGCTGCTATTGCCTCTTTTCCTCCATGTAGAATGTAAGCTTCCTAATGACAGTTTTCTGTCTCATGTTTTTGTTCATCGCTTTATCCTCAGCTTCTAAATTAGTTCTTAAATATATAGTAAGCTCTTGGTGAATAAACCTTGTATGAATAAATGATACTTTTTTTTATGTCAGGGGACATGTCACTTATTCAGGATTTCTAGCTGAGGATGGCAAGCCTCTTTATCTTATTCATTCTTACATCTCTAGAGTCCAGTAACATACCTGTTATACAATAGTGCCTCCAGTAAGTAATTGTCAAATGAGTAAAATAAACTGGAAAGGTTCCATGGAGAACCATTTATGGGCCATGAGTTAACCCTGTTTTAGAGATTGACTGGGTTGACATAGCATGAACAAGATGTGGATGCAGGCATTACCATCATGGATGCAGGGGGAAGCAAGAAGAGTGGCCTGAATGGAGCATGCAGTGCCAGTTAAGGAGCGGTAGGACATGGAGCTATTTAAGGAGTATGGGAGCAAATTGTGGGGGGATTTGGAATAATAATATTTATTGAGCTTGTGTATTGTGTGCAATTTTTAAATGCTCTACATGGATTAACCTACTTAAAACCCCTGCGGTTTAGAAAGATTGATACCAATATTATCCTCATGCTATAGACAGGAAACTGAGGCCCAAAGCAATGGACTTGCTCAATGTTTAAATGCTCTACATGGATTAACCTACTTAAAACCCTTGCAGTTTAGAAAGATTGCTACCAATATTATCCTCATGCTATAGATAGGAAACTGAGGCCCAAAGCAATGGACTTGCTCAAGGTTGCACAGGTGCTGAAGATACATCTGCAACTCGAGTATTATAATTTATAAGCCTCCATTCCCAAGTATTATGATAAAATTCTAGGCAAGGTACTTTAAACATACCAGTGGTAGGTCTTAAGAGCACAGAAGGTTCTTGGGTAGATACTCCTGTTTGTGAATATCTTAGTTGGTTACATATTTTTATAGCCAAAAAAAGTGAGACTTCTTAGATTCTCTCTAATTTCTGGGTTTAGATATCGTTTTTTATTTGCCCCATCTTCTTCCCTTTTGTATCCTTGTTTTCTCCTTTAAAAAATTGTGCAAACTAGAATATTTAGACTCCCAGTCGTGCATTGCTCGTTCTTGTCTTTGGTGTTTTTGGTGTTTTTATTGTTATTTTTGGTACAAATGCCTATCAGAGCCAGGAAGCTGAAGTAAGGAGTGATTGGGCAAGTTATAGGATAGCAGGAAGTACAGGTACTGTTTTAACCTAGAGAACACATTTAGTCTAAAGGAGTCCCAGTTCATTAACTTTAAAATATTTTGTGATTTAAACAAAACATGCTGACACCTCAGTTATACTGATTGAACTGTGACTTCTGGTTTATGCATTCTCTCCCCACCCTCTCTGCAATACCTTGGATCTTCAATATTAGTTTTCCAACTACAGCTTTGTCTGATATATTCAGCAGGTATATAATCTTTGCGAGTTATTCCTGGCTATGTCTTTTTGTGATTTCTTCCATCTCTAAACATCTTCTGAATTTACTGTGTCGTAAACTTTGCTGAAAGTATTTAGGTACTTACGGAGATTTAAGTACCGTAATCCAAGAATGTAGGGTTTTGGTTATCCAAACTAATAGAAGAATGATGTTTAGAGGATATAGAAGATGATTATCATGTCCTTTAAAATATCACTAGAACATCAAGTGTCTCATCTGTGCTTCTGACTGGCTCAGGTGAGCACATAGTATCAGATTGCCTGTCACCAGGCCAGATGCTTTACATATGTTATCCGATGTAATTATTAACATATTTCTTTAACAGAGCTGGCATACCAATTTTATAGATACGGAATCTGAGATGCAGGGAGAATAAGTAACTTACTCAAAGTCCCATAGTTAATAAGTGAAATTTTTTAAAATGTGTGAGCTGATACATGATTTTTAAAAGATACTTTCATGATGACCATTGTCTTTTAGAAATGCATTATTCTGGTATTCTCTGGTTTACATATTGAAACACTGCACCCTGTTTTTCAGTGTATAGTCTTTGCTATGACTTCTGGCCAGATGTGGAACCATATCCGTGGACCTCCATATGCTCATAAGAACCCACACAATGGACAAGTGGTAAGTGTAATTTATAAGCATGAATATTCTGAAGTTTAATCCAGCTTAATTTAGGAATAAGAAATTATGTTTAGTATTTAGTAGGAAAAGATTCTGTTTGTCAGTCAAAATATATATTCTTTCTCATTTACTACCTGTGTCACCTATATACACATGTGCATACACACACACACACAATATTACTTTTGTTAGGATGAGGGCTGCTTTAGTGTTGATTTAAAAAATTAATATCTACCATATCAAATATACATGCATTCACTATTTTTTCAAGTTTATCTGCTGCTATGGCGATAACATGTAACCCCACTAGAGGAAATCGGAATAGTTTATAGCCAATGTCCCTCCCATCCATGGTAAATTTAATTTTCTTCAGAAGGGATTAAGACATTATTAAGAACCCGGGTGGTCATTGTATTAGAATGTTAGGAACTCTTTGCCACAGAATTAAAAGTGAAATTGATATGTTGTTACATTAGTAGCAGAGTTTACGTTAGTAACTGCCACCGAATTCACATAACTGAGTTTGTTGCCTTCTCTTTACGTTTGGTGAATAGGAAATACTGTGATAAATCAACATAGAAACATACTGTCTTTGAGACAGTATTAGGATAGTGAAGATGAACAGTTTTTCGTTTTTTCTCTAACCTTTTCTGCTTTTTCTTTTGGAAAAGATACGTATTTTGAGAATAATATAATGGCATGGCTTCTTGTACCCATCACTAGACTTTTTCAGCTCTCATCTCATAACTATTCTTGTTTCATCTTTCTTTCTGTCCACCTGCTAATAATAAAATAATTATTATTACTATATAATAATCAATTTGGGCCCATATTTTTGGGAACATTTTCAGATTTCTGTAGTGGAAGACAAGGATATGGAGTTAAAGCTAGCCTCTTTGAATAATTGGTTGCCATAATAAGTTAGACATAGTTTTTGCTATATTTATATGTTTTTAAAATCTGGCATTATTTAGAAGAGTAATTTCAGAAAGTCTTCAATATTCAAAATTCAGTTATACAAAGAAAAATAATTGGAAGCAATTTTAGAGCAATAAATTATTCCCTTACCTTTAATTTTTCACACAAATGCTGGCTTCCCAACAAGATCCTTCCTGACGACACTATTTAAAGTTAGCCCTTTCCTCTCTTCCTCCTCCCTGGTCCCTATACTCTGTCTCCCTCTCCTGTTTTATTTTTTCTCCACAGTACTTGTCACCTTACAGTATGCTACATAATTTATCGAATGTGTTATTTTGTCCGTTTGCCTTTTGCCATGACCCTAGTAATAGATAAGCTTCTGAAAGAATGGATTTTATCAGGTTTTGTCACTGATACATTTCTGTTACATAAAGAAGGGCCTGATGCAAAGATCTGATCGCTGTCGTGTTAATGACACTTAACGTTGTAAATTTAGGAAATCTTATAAATTTTTGTTACTGCCTTTTAGTATTCTTCTAAGAGTATTCTTTAGGTATAAAACATATTAAGGCATTGCTTTTCATTATTGTTTATGGTTTGTTAAAGTATACGAAAAGTTATTCAACATTCTTATGAAATGTTTTAACATATTGTATTCTTTTTTTTTGGGAGGGTTTCAGACTTTTTTTTTTCTTTGGTTGTTAGAACTTTTATTTTAGGTTAGGGGATACCTGTGCAGGTTAGTTACATTGGTACATTGCATAATACTAAGGATTGGGGTATGAATGATCTTGTCACCGAAGTACTGAGTATAGTACCAAATAGGTAGTTTTTCAGCCCCTTCCTCCTCTACCCTCTAATAGGCTGCAGTGTCTGCTCCCATCTTTGTGTCCATGTTTATCCAATGTTTAGCTCCTACTTATAAGAACGTGCAGTACTTGATTTTCTTTTTCTGTTAATTTGCTTAGGATAATGGCCTCCAGCTGCATCCATATTGCTGCAAAGGACATGAGTTCATTCTTTTTTATGGCTGTATAGTATTCCCTGTTGTATATGTACCACATTTTCTTTATCCACACTGTGGATGGACACCTCAGTTGCTTCCATATCTTTGGTATTGAGAATAATGCTGCAATGAACATACAAGTGTATGTGTCTTTTTTGTAGAACAATTTATTTTCCTTTGGGTATATACCAGCAATGGATCGCTGGGTCGAACGGTAGTTCTATCTTAAGTTCTTTGAGACATCTCCATGTTGTTTTCCATTATAATTGTACTAATTTACATTCCCACCAGCAGTGTATGTGTTCCGTTTTCTACACAGCCTTGCCAGCATCTATTATGTTTTGACTTTTAAAAAACAGCCATTCTGACTGGTGTGAAATGATATCTCATTGTGATTTTAATTTGCATTTCTCTGATGATTAGAAATTAAATGTATGTAATTAAATTATTAGAAATTAAATGTATGATGTGTGGAGCATCTTTGCATATATTTGTTGCCCGCTTATCTGTCTTCTTTTCAGAAGTGTCTGTTCATGTCTTTGCCTGCTTTTTAATGGGGTTATTTATTTTCTGATTGTTGATTTAAGTTGCTTATAGATTCTGGATATTAGACCTTTGTCAGGTACATAGTTTGTAAATGTTTTCTCCTATTCTGTAGGGTGTCTTTTTAGTCTGTTGATAGTTTCTTTTGCTGTGCCAAAGCCTTTTAGTTTAATTAGGTCCCACTTGACTATTTTTTATTTTGTTTAGATTGCTTTTGAGGTCTTATCCATAAATGCTTTGCCAAGGCCAGTGTCCAGAATGGTATTTCCTGGGTTGTTCCAGGGGACATTTTCCAGCGGACATTTGGTAGTGTCTGGATACATTTTAGATTGTCTCAACTTTCAGGGCAACTACCGACTACTGGCAGTTAGTGGTAGAGGCCAGGAATGCTGCTAAACACCTAAAATACAAAGGACAGCCTCCTATACCCAATTAAGAAAATCATCCAGCTCCAAATATCAGAGTATTGAAAGTGAGAAGCCTAGAGAAACTTAGATGTAATTTTGACTTCCTGCATATTTTGCAGCTAAGAAAACTAATCCATCTAGCATATAACCCCAAAGAAGGATTTTCTTTTTCTGCAAAAAGGAGAAAATTTGAAAAACTGAAATAGCTAGAGCTTAGGATCATGGTGACCTACATTTAATGTTTAGGATGGTTGTATATATTGAAAGTCATCAGTAAATATGATTGGTTTGTAAATGTTTATTTTTTTAATTTTTTAAAATTTTATTTTATAGAGTTAGGGTCTCACTCTGTCACCTTGGTGCAGTGGTACGATCATAGCTCACCGCAGCCTTGAACTCCTGGCTCAAGTGATCCTCCTGCCTCAGTGCCCTAAGTACCTCGGACACTGTGCCTGGCCTTTGTTTTTCCCCAAGAAATAGGGTCTCACTGTGTTGTCCAGGGTGGTCTTGAACTCCTGGACTCAAGCAGCTCTCCTGCATTGGCCTCCCTGAGTTCTCGGATTACAGGCCTGAGCCACTGTGCCCATCTGTAAATGGGTTTTCTTTTACTATGCGTTAGTAAATATGATTTAATCTGTGACATTTTATATGCTTACAAAGAGATTTTGATAAGAGAAAGTAAAGACTCTGGCTCACAGAGACATTTTTATGCCTTTGTCCTGAAGTGTGCAGGCAAAGAGAAACAGAAAGAAAACAGAGCAGGGTTCTTTTCCAAACTCTGACTCTTACCAGGTCTGTCTTTTTTGGGGAAGTTACTTATTCTCTCTGTTCTTCTTCTGTAAAATGAGTTGAATTCTGCTTTTCTTAGTTTGTAGTTTTTGGTAGATAAAATCTGATAATAAATACAGGGCTGAGAATGGCTCTGTCCATGCCCATATCAGCACAAAACTGGTAGATAGCAGTGCCATAAGGCAAAGAGGGAAGGTGGTGTCAGACAGAGCCAGGTTCTATGACACATAGCTACCAGGGCCAAGCCAGCAGTAGGCTTAGTGCAGGGGCAGGAAAGGTGGGGAGTAGTAAGATAGGCAGATGCTGGAGGCACTAAGAAGGGTGCCATGGGTGGGAGGAACAGAAAGAGAAAGACAGAGACATCCACTGGTTGGAGAGGCCTCGTCTGCATAAGCACTTTTAAAAGTTGAAAACACACGTGTCTTATTTTGAAGTCCTTTCAGAACAGATCCAAAGACAGTGATTTAAGTGAAAGAAGTTCATATTGGAGGTTAAGGAAACATGGGAGAAGAGAGGGAAACTGAGTCTAGGAAGGAAAGCAGTCAAAAAACATGTTTATCCAGTCAGTATTGTGAGCCACTGAACCTTATTTCTGCTATGAGATCTCTGGGAGCCTGTGTAGGGCATGTATGTCAACTTTCCTACTACAGTGGTAAGGGAGCTGAGGTATATATACGCCAGATCTCATCAGCCATTTGCTGAGTGCTGTTCTCTTGGCAAAGTTATTACTTCTCCAGCACTGGTGGACTTTGTCTGTCAAAGAAAGCCATCTAGTCAAAGAAATGCAGGTGCTGGTGGTGGAAGTCAGGCTGGAACACACTAAGGCATTAAGGGCAAAGAAATATGGGTAGTATACTACTCATAGACTGTATTTACTACAATTTATATCAGTTTATTTTTTTTTAGTAGATTCCAAAGGAGAGGAAAAAAATAATGAAAAAACCACATTGGGTATTGGTTTTATTTCGAGATATGCCCTGGAAAAAAAGCAACAAATAAAAGTCTCATCAATTAAATATAGTTTTATTTTTAAGCCAATATCATATGTCTTGTAAACAATCCTTCAGAATAAAGTAGAAAAATGTACGCATATTTAAGAACATCTATCTCTATAGGAAATTTTGTCTTTATTTCACATTTTAACAAGTCTTTTTAAAAATTTTAAATTGATGGAGTACATGTGCAGGTTGTTACAAGAGTATATTGTGTGATGCTGAGGACTGGGCATTACTGAGGCCATCACACAGATAGGAATTTTTTCAGCTTTTGGCCTCCTTCCCTCACTCCCTCTTTTTGGAGTCCGTAGCATCTGTTGTTCTAATGTATATGTTCGTATGCACCCAAGGTTTAGCTCCCACTTGTGAGAACATAAAATATTTGGTTTTCTGTTTCTGTGTGAATTTGCACCTCTAGCTGCATTCATGTTGATTTGGAGGACATGATTTTATTGTGCTGCATAGTATTCCTTGGTGTATATGTACCGTATTTTCTTTATTTAATTCACCGTGGATGAGCACCTAGGTTGATTTAATGTCTTTGCTATTGTGAATAACGCTACAGTGAACATACAAGTACATGTGTCTTTTTGGTAGAACTGTTTATTTTCTTTTATGTATATACCCAGTAACGAGATTGCTAGGTAGAATGGCAGTTCTAATTTTAGTTCCTTGAAAAATCTCCAAAGTACTTTCCACAGTGGCTGAACTAATTTACATTCCCAGCAGTGGTGTATAAGCATTCCCTTTTCTCCACAGCCTTGGAAGCATCTTTTTTTTTTGACTTTTCTGTAATAGCCGTTCTGACTTGTGGGAAATGGTGTCTCATTGTAGTTTTGATTGGCGTTTCTCTGATGATTAGTGTTGATGAGCATTTTTTCATGTTTATTGACCACTTGCATGTTTTCTTTTGACACGTATCAGTTCATATCCTTTGCCCACTTTTTAATGGGGTTATTTTTTGCTTAAGTTTTTTAAGTTCCTTATAGATTCTGGATATTAGTCCTTTATCAGATACATAGTTTGTATTTTCTCCTGTTGTGTAGGTTGTCAATTTACTCAATTGATAGTTCCTTTTGCTGTGTAGAAGCTCTTCAGTATAATTAGGTTCCACTTGTCAATTTTTGTTTTATTTGCAGTTGCTTTTGAAGACTTAGTCATAAAATGTTTGCCTATGCCAGTGTCCAAAAGGATATTTCTTAGGTTTTCATCTAGGGTTTTTATAGTTTTAGGTATTTTTAAGTCTTTAATCCATCTTGAGTTAATTTTGTATATATGGAAAGCTAGGGATCGAGTTTCATTCTTTTGCATATGGCTAGCCAGTTACTCCAGCACCATTTATTGAATAGGTGTTTATTCCCCATTGTTTGTGTAGACTTTGTCAAAGATCAGGTGGTTGTAGATGTGTAACTTTACTTCTGGGTCGTCTATTGTGTTCCATTGGTCTGCATGTCTATTTTTGTACCAATACCATGCTGTTTTGGTTACTGTTGCTTTGTAGTATAGTTTGATGTTGGGTAATATCCCTCCAGCTTTGTTATTTTTGCTTAGGATTACCTTGGCTATTTGTTCTCTGTTTGGGTTCCACATGAATTTTAGAATAGCTTTTTTTTTTCTAGTTCTGTGAAAAATCATGATAAATTGAGAGGAATAGTACTGAACCCGTAGATTGCTTTGGGCAGAATGGCGATTTTAATGATAGTGAGCCTTCCAATCCATGAGCATGGGTTGGTTTTCCATTTATTTGTGTCATCTATGATTTATTTCAGCAGTGTTTTGTAGTTGTCCTTATAGAGATCTTTCACCTCTTTGGTTACATGTGTGCCTAGGTAATTTGTGTGTGTATGTGTGTGTGTATGTTTGTGGCAGTTGTGAATAAGAATGTGTTCTTGATTTGGTTCTTGACTTGAACGTTATTGGTGTTTTAGAAATGCTACTAATTTTCATAGATTGATTCCTGAAACTTTACTGAAATCGTTTATAAAGCCTTTTGGTAGAGTATTTAGGGTTTTCTAGATACAGAATCATATAGTCTGCAAAGAGAGATACTTTGACTTATTCTTTTCCTATTTGGATGTCTTCTGTTTCTTTTTCTTGCCTTGTTGCTCTCATGAAGACTTCCAGTACTATGCTGAATAGTAGTAGAGAGTGGACATCCTTGTCTTGTTCCAGTTCTCAGGGAGAATGGTTCCAGCTTTTGCCTCCTGTTGAGTATGATGTTGCCTGTGGGTTTGTCATAGATGACTCTTACTATTTTGAAGTATATTCCTTTGATGTGTTTGAGGATTTTTATCATGAACAGATGCTGGACATTATTGAAAGCTTTTTCTGTGCCTATTGTGATGATATGGTTTTGTTTTTAATTATGTTTATGTGGTGTATTACATTTATTGATTTGTGTATGTTGAACCAACTTGGCATCCCAGAAATGAAACCTCCTTGATTATAGTGAATTAAACCTTTGAATGTGCTGTTGGATTCAATTTGCTATAATAATATTTTGTTGAGGATTTTTACATCTATGTTCCTTAGTGATATTGGTGTGTAAATTTTTGTTGTTGTGTCTTTGCCAGGTTTTGATATCGGTGCTGCTGGCTACATAGAACGTGTTAGGGAGGATTCCTTCATCCTTGATTTTTTTTTTTTTTTGGAATAGTTTCAGTAAAATTGATGTCAGCTCTTCTTTATTATCCATCTTGAATTCATCTGAGGATTCCGTCCTCCTTTTTTTTTGGAATAGTTTCAGTAGGATTGGTACCAGTTCTTCTTTATATATTTTATGGAATTCATCTGAATACATCTGGTCCAGGGCTTTTTTTGGTTAGTAGGTTTTTTATTACTGATTCAATTTCAGAAGTCAGTATTTGTCTGTTCAGGGTTTCAGTTTCTTCCTGATTCAGTCTTGGAAGAGTGTATGTTTCCAGGAATTCATCCATTTACTCTAGATTTTCTAGTTTTTGTGCAACAAGGTATTAATATAGTGCCGAGTATCTTTTTTATTTCTGTGGCATCAGTTGTAATGTCACCTTTGTCATTTCCGATTGTGCTTATTTGGATCTTTTCTCTTTTTTTTTTTCTTTATTAGCCAGTAGTCTTTCGATCTTGTTTATCCTTTCAAAGAACCAACTTTTGGTTTCATTGATTCTTTATATGGATTTCTGGGCTTCAATTTCATTCAATTATGCTCTGATTTTAGTTATTTATTTTTGTCTGCTACCTTTTGGGCTAGTTTTTTCTTGTTTTTCTGATTTCTCTAGCTTTGATGTTAGACTGTTGAGATTTTTGTCTTCTTGATCTAGGTATTTAACACTATAAACATTTCTCTTAATATTGCTTTTACTGTATCCCAAAGATTTTGGTATGTTGTATCTTTGCTGTCATTTGATTCAAAGAATTTTTTGTTTTCTGTCTTAATTTGCTATTTACCCAAAAATCATTCAGGAGCAAGTTGTTTAGTTACTATGTAATTTTGTGTTTTTGAGATTTCCTCTTGATATTAATTTCTATTTTTATTCCACTGTGATCTGAGAATATGCTTGGTATGATTTTGATTGTTTTGAATTTATTAAGATTTACTTTGTGACCAAGGATGTGATTGATCTTCGAGTATGTTTCATGTTCAGATGAGAAGAATGTTTATTCTGCAGTTGTTGTGTGGAGTATTCTGTAGATGTCAGTTAGGTCCATTGCATTGAATTTAAGTTCAGAATTTCTTTGTTAATTTTCTGCCTCAGTTATCTGTCTAATGCTGTGAGTGGGGTCTCGACATTCCCCACTATTATTGTGTGCCTGTCCAAGTCTTTTTGTAAGTCTAGAATTTTTTTATGAATGTTTTATGAATCTGGGTGCTCTAATTTTGGATTCATATATATTTAAGATACTTAAGTCTTCTGGATGAATCGAACTCTTTATCATTATGTAATTACCTTCTTTGTCCTTTTTTAACTGTTGTCGTTTTAAAGTCACTTTTATCTCGTGTAAGTACAACCTCTGCTCTGTTTGGTTTTTCATTTGAGTGTTAGATCGTTTTCCATTACTTTGAGCCTGTGAGTATTGTTACATGTGAAATGGATCTATTGGAGACGGAACATATTTTAATGCAGTTTTCCCCTGTGTGTCTATTAAGTGGAGCATTTAGACTGTTTACATTCAACGTTAATATTGATATGTGAAGTTTTCTTCCTATCGTGGTGGTGTTAGCTGGGTTAACTTTTATTCTTGATTGTGTACTTGCTTTATAGAGTCTCTGGGCCATGTGCTTATGTGTGTTTCTGTGGTGGCAGCTGTTGTTCTTTTGTTTCCATGTCTAGAACTTTCTTTTTTTTTTTTTGTAGCTGTTGTAAGGCCAGTCTTGTGGTAATGAATTCTCTTAGTGATTGATTCTCTGGGAAAGGCGTTATTTTTTCACTTACCAGCTTAGTTTGGCATGAGATGCAATTCTTGGTTGGAATTTTGTTTCTTGAAGAATTCTAAAAGCAGGCCCCATTCTCTTCTGGCTTGTATGTTTTCTGATAGGAAGTACTATGTTAGCCTGATGAGGTTCCCTTCAGAGGTGATATGACCCTTTTCTCTAGCTGCCTTTAAGATTTTTTCTTTTGCGTTGACCTTGGAAAGGCTGATGACTATTTGCCTTGGGGATGGTCAACTTGGGTAGTTTCTTGCAGGGAATCTCTGCATTTCTTGTATTTGCACTTTCATTTCTCTAGCGAGATTGGGAAAATATTTGTGGGTTATATCCTCAAATATGTTTTCCATGTTTTCTGCTTTCTCTTAAGAACGCACAATGAATCATAGATTTGGTTGTTTTACACAATCTCTTATTTCTCAGAGGCTTTGTTCATTTCTTAAAATTATTTTTTCTTTATTTTTATCTGACTGGGTTGATTTGAAGGAGTGATGTTCAGGCTCTGAAATTGTTTCTTCTGCTTGATCTAGTCTATTGTTAAGACTTCCAACTGTAATTTGAAATTCCTATGGTGGATTTCTCAATTCCAGAAGTTTAGTTTGTTTCTTTCTTACTATATCTTTGTTGTATTTCAAATTTTGGATTGCTTTTCTGACTTCCTTGGATTGGAGTTCAGCTTCCTCTTGTATCTCATTGAGCTTCTTTGCCGTCCAGGTTCTGAATTTATATCTTTAATTTCAGACATTTCATCCTGGTTAGGATCGATTGTTAGGGAGCTAGTGCAATCCTTTGGATATTACAAAACACTGACTTTTTCAATTCTTGTACTTCCTGCACTGATTCCTTCTCAGAAGGAACTGGTGCTTCTTTTTCTTTTTGAATTTGCTGTTGTTTTGTTGGGGCTTTTTATTTTTATGTTCTTTTTTCCTTGAAGGTTTGACTATGGTATATGGTGTGTATAGTCAGCTGGCTTCGTTTCTGAGTACTTTCATATGGCCAAGACTTTGTATGGTTTCTTTGGTTGTAAATAGGTTCCTGTGGTGGGTTTCACAGGCTCTGAGTGCTGAAGCAATGTGGTTTTGTTTGGTGGTGTAATTCAGAGTGCAGTCCACCAGCTGACACTTAAGAGATAAGGGCCTGAAAATAGGATCTTAGTCGTGCTCTCCACTTTAGTATTTCACTGCATTCACCGTAGTGCTCTGGGGAGGGAAGGCGGGGGCCATATATGACTGCCTCTCTGGTTTCTGAGATTTGGTGGTAACCCATTCAACTACTGGTGCCTTTCCAATGTTTACCTTGCCCCAGGGGTGGGTGGGGGGCAGGCTCTAATGGGCTGTGCTTCTGCCTCCCATAGAGCAGTCCAAGAGAGTCACAACTCCTTGGGAACCCACTGTTCCTCTGTATTTGCCAGAGTCAGAGTGAGTTGTGGAGTGTGTTCACTGGTGGTCTGGTGATGCAGTAGAGGAAGGGCAGAGGATCCTGACCAGGGCAGTGGCACCGTGTGTACAACTGGTATATTTTCAGCCTGGCAGCCCAAGAGGCTTGAGTTCTCCTGACCTGGTGGGTCTCCCGCCAGTGTCTGCACCAGGAGCAGGCCCAACCGGCTAAGCTTGTCGTAAGCCTTCTGCACCTAGATCACTGTTCTAGGCATTTGATGCCTTGGGACTCCCTGGGGAAGAAGCTGCAGCTGGCTGTCAGGCTGCGTTCCTCCCGGACTGGTCTTATGAAAGGAGGGATGCCCAGCTCTGATGTCAGCACATGAGCCCATGCCACAGTCTTCTCTGTGTTCTGAGATTGAGGGCTGCTTCCCCACTCAAGCTAAGGCCACAGATCTGCAGCTTGGTATCCCTGGGTGGTGTGGTCAAGTCCTGGGGAGTTGGGACCAGATCCAGGGGTTTGTTCTCTAGCCCCTGGATGTAAAGCAGCAGCTGTGCTGCAGGAGAGCAGACTGCTCCTAGACCTCCAGCAAAACACTCAGATGGGGCAATGGAGGCTGTGCTGTGGGCACACTTCTGCAAGATCGTTCAGGCAGGCAGGCTTAGGAGGGGCCACGGGGTTACATGGATCAGATGCACCCCAGTCCTGTGGCAATGGTGGCCCTGCTCTCTTGCAGCCTAGCAGACAGCAGTAGCTACAGCCACTCAGTACAGCATGGCACACCTCGGGGCGTGAACACCTTTGGTCACATTTTGCTGGAGCTGCACTGCGTAGTGAAACATTTGGGGGTGCATGCAAGTTTGAGCTGTGCTTCTGCCTATTCTCTGAGTGGCTTCCCTGCCGGTTCAGAGGTCTTTGGGGGTCTTGGGAAACCTGTAGCTGGGATCCCAGAGGTATGTGGTGGGAGTGTGCTGCCGAAATTCCTTCACTCACCGCTTCCTCAGGTCTGGTTCAGTACAGGAGGCCGGTCCTAGTGCCCAGCGACTCTGAGTGGCTTCCTGGCTTCCTCCCTCTTTAATCACAGTGTCCATCTCTTCTCTATTGACTTGATGCTTTCTCACAAAATCTTTATTCAGAGTGTGATGGTTTATTTGATATTTTGGTTCCTCTTGGTGGACAGTTCCCGGCTGTTTCTAGACATCTTGAAGATTTTAAAAATTCTTAAACAGTTGGATAGATAATTTGTTCCCTTAACAGAAAGTTTATTATTGATGCTCTGTCAACAGGGCCTGTGTTTTGAATTGTATTTTTCAAAAGTGGTATTCACTGCAGTCCTCTGGGCTATTTATTTCTACTACACATTGACCTTAACATCAACAGTGTACACTTGGGGGAAACACTGTTTAGAATGGCGCATAGTTTGTGGCAGTCAACAGAATCAATATATAACAGACCTATATGAGCTCTGAAATTCTGATTCTATCTTTAATAGCTTAATTTTCCAACTGCATTGAGCAAATTGGGCCTGACAAGCTTAGTAAAAGACAGGAGTATTTTGTTGGGTATTCATTTAGTTCTTAGGTTTTTTTTTTTTTGAAAAATTAGTGGTATTTGTAAGGCTAGTGACTCTGCTCATATTAATTGTGAAATCAAACATGTCTAGGAAAACCTGAAGATATTGACAAAGTGTTTCTTCATTGAGCTTAAATGTAAATGAATACAGAGAATATAAAGAAAATTAATAGTGCAGGCAGTGTGATGCGGTGCTGCTTTGCAAGTTTATTTGTTTGTCACTATTAAGATACTATGTAATGGCACAAGTCAAGTACTAATGGTCCACTTAACAGCATGAAAATCAACACAAAAGCAGTCATTATTGTGTAGCTAAAGGGAAACTATACAAACATATGGTTACATAGGACATAAAAACAATTTTTGTTGTTAAAAAAGCAATAATCTTTAACAATATGCATTTAATGAAATAAAGCTTATGCGTAGGCTGTAACTCCCACCGTGAACAAATGCGTTATTTTCAAGATTTGGATTTTAGCTACTGCTTGAGGATTGCTATGGGTTTGCCAGATATAGTCCAAAAATTTTCACTGCATTACAATTCAGTTGTGAGTAAAACTAAGCGTTATATTCTGCATGCACATGCAGAACATTTTATTGCAAAATGACCTGCTGATTTAGTCTAAAATTTATCATCGAGGCATTTTTTTTTTCTATTTCTTAGGCAGCCATACCATATTGTACTTTATCCAACTTTCTTCACTTTCATGCCTCAGGGATTTTGCACATGCTAGGTCTTTGAGAGTCATTAAGGATGCTATCATCCCATTTTTTAAAAAACTTAAAAATCATATAGACTGATTTAGATTAAATATAATTATTATATTTTCAACAGAAATATTTACAAAGGGCATTCAGTAGCTTTATTACAGTCTTCATACCACCAGCAAAGAGAATGTTAACATTATCCTGAAATTTTTAAACAAAAAAACCCAGCTGGCCGGGCGTGGTGGCTCAAGCCTGTAATCCCAGCACTTTAGGAGGCCGAGTTTGGCGGATCACAAGGTCAGGAGATCGAGACCATCCTGGCTAACACAGTGAAACCCCGTCTCTACTAAAAATACAAAAAATTAGCCGGGCATGGTGGCAGGCGCCTGTAGTCCGGTCCCAGCTACTCGGGAGGCTGAGGCAGGAGAATGGCCTGAACCCGGGAGGCGGAGCTTGCAGTGAGCCGAGATCGTGCCACTGCACTGCAGCCTGGGTGACAGAGCAAGACTCCGTCTCAAAAAAAACAAAAAACAAAAAAATGGTAAGACAAGAGTAATTGACATACATTAAGGATATACAGAAATCTTGATGTTAGTATTTGGAATTGAGATTCTTCCCTCTTATTTATTTATGCCTTTATTTTTCCATCTGATTAACATATTTGTTAGGTACTCTGTTTCCAGTAGTAGTACAGATACATCATGCAGCTCATCATCTAGTGGGGATACATAATATGATATCGGTTAGCCTCAAGTCTCAGTCTTCAGAGCCTCGCTTCTTATTGAGTTACATGATATTTGAGGCTGCAATTGTTTTAGAATTTTGCCTCAGCACCATGGTCATTTTATGGCTGTGACACTGCATCTGATGTCTTTCAAACTCTGCCTTAATCTTTATATTCCTTTTTATTTTTTCATATTTGTGTCTGTCTAGTTAGCTTTGGTAGAACTCCATCTTCAGCATCTGTTGTTGCCGCTCATTCCTTCTTTCCACCTGGTTTTAATTTTTAGTGTCACCATTTAAACTACATGCATTCTTGATCCTAACGTCTGACTGAATCTTGATTGCCAGCCCAGACTGCTCTTACACTTCCCTTCAACTGTTGCTGCCTATCTATGATCCTGCCAATTAATTACAACGAAGAACCTTGTGATTTGTACCCTTACTTCATGACAAAGCACTTCACACGTGGCAGATACTAAATAAATGATACTGCATAGATAAATAAATCTTTCTTTGCAAATAGGAACTCAGATTGTATCTTTAGCCTTTCAAAATGTTAAGTATATCAGAAAAAAATTGTTTTCCCTGCTAACATTTGTTTGTAATTAAAACCACATGCACAGAGGGATTATGGAACTGCATAATGAGAATGTGTTTTAATATGTCAAACTTCATCTAATACAGTTAATTATTCTCTGAGTATCAAGAAGAAATATTACATCAGAGGAGAAAGGATAAGAACAAAAAGAGAAGAATCAGTCCTCCCACAGAGAAAGGGATAAACTACCTGTTAACTTTTTCATATTCTTTAATTTTTTTCCTATTAGGAAAATTGTGTAGTACATTGGAAAGAGTCCTGTGGTCTTAAAAAAACCAAAGATATTATTTTCATCGTATCAATAAAGTTGAGTACAATTATATTAAAGATACTCATAATTATATACATTCAGGATTGAAAAAAGCGTTTCTCATTTATAACTCTACAATTTCAGAATAAGATGTACATTTCAGTAACTCAGAAAAATTGTTTTCAATGCATGTTTATCAAGCATCATTAGGTTTTGACTCCACATAATGCTAGTCTCTGACTTTAGTAAGTTTTTCGTAACCTTACATAAAATAAACATTCAAAAACTAACACTTCAGTATTCTTTTTTTTTTTTTTTTTAACTTTTAGGTTCAAGGGTACTTGTGCAGATCTGTTATATAGTTAAATTGTGTGTCACAGGGGTTTGATGTACAGATTATTTCATTGCCCAGGTAATCAGCATAGTACCCGATGGGTAGTTTTATGATCCTCACCCTCAAGTATACCCTAGTATCTGTTGTTTCTGTCTTTGGTCTTTTGTTTTTGTTTGAAATAGAAATTTATTCTCAGAATAACGCACAAAAGCACACGTTGAGGCTGCTGTTAGGAGATTTCCCTCCCTTCCATTTCCTCCTTCTCCTCTCCTCTCTGTATGCCAGGGAGGACACAGTTGAAGGAAACGTGCAATCACAAACAATGATCAGCTCTAAACACAAAAAAGTTTGGTCCAAAAGAACTCAGCGTAATTAATCCAGTTACTTTGTAGAATTTCACTAGGTAGGATTAAGATACTGCAGATGTAGTGTTTCCAGGAGCGGTTTGTCAGTGCACCAGGGGTCGCCTGCTTGAGGGAGTTGAGGACTGAGTGCATACAGGAGACCTCTTTGCCCTGCTTGCTGACTTGGGGTTACAGTCAAACAACCGGGCCACCTGTTACCACCCAGTGCAGGGGGATGACTCGTCAATGTCATTTACAAAATCTTCTGCCCTGTAGTTTGCCTTTCTTTTCTGTAGCTGCTCGTCTTGTCTTGCACGCCATTCTTCTAGCTCATTTATCGCTTTTTCTTTCCACTCTGCTTCTTGCTTCGGAGAATAAGCAGCAAGGGCTGCTAAGCATTCCATTTTCTCTTCTTTGCATCTGCATATATTTTCAGGCTGGATGGGAATCGATCCACTTGTGAAATAGCTGCATAATTGTCTCTTGGACCATTACTTTCCTGGTAGTAGTCACCATCATCACTCCGTCAACAGCATCTGGACTCCCAGCTGTTCACCTTGTGGCTGGGGCCTGGGGGTGACACCATCCAGGATGTCGAAGGCGACCTTGTTGTTCTTGATACCCATAGTCTTGCTCTCTTGCAGTGCCAAGAAGGCCGCAGCTGGGTCTTCTTCACTGGCGCCAGCCACTCCGTTCCCCAGGACAGGATCCCCAGGGGTGCCAGCAGGGACACCGAAGGGATGTTGCTCAGCCATGTCGTGCAATTTAACGACACAGACACCAACCCACCAACACCATGCCTGGCAATCGTGGCTGTGGTAGTGTCTGGGAGATGTTGTTCCTTTCTTTGTGTCTATATGTACTCAGTGTTTACCACCCACTTGTAAGTGAGAACATGGCTCTATTTGGTTTTCTCTTCCTGTGTTAGTTTGCTTAGGATAATGGCATCCAACTCCATTCATGTTTCTGCAAAGCACATGATCTCATTCTTTTTTATGGCTGCTTAATAGTCCATGGTGTGTGTGTGTGTGTGTGTGTGTGTGTGTGTGTGTGTGTGTATAAATATATATATATATGCATGCCACATTTTCTATATCTGTTCTACCATTGATGGACATTTAGGTTAATTCCATTTCTTTGCTCCTGTGAATAGTGCTATGATGCACATACACGTCTGTGTGTCTTTATGGTAGAACAATTTATATTTTTTGGGGTGTATACACAATAATGGGATGGCTGGGTCAAATGGTAATTAATTCTGTTTTAAGCTCTTTGAGAAATCGCCAGACTGCCTTCCACATTGGCAGAACTAATTTACACTCCTACTGGCAGTGTATAAACTTTCTTCTCTTCCACAATCTCGCCAAAATCTATTATTTTATGTCTTTTTAATAGGCATTCTGATTGGTGTGAGGTAGCATCTTGTGGTTTTGATTTGCATTTCTGTAATGATTAACGCTGTTGAGCATTTCTTCTTATGCTGTGGGCCACATGTATGTCTGCTTTTGAAAAGTGTCGGTTCATGTCCTTTGCCCACTTTTAAAGGGAGTTTTTTTTTTTGCTTATTTAAGTTTCTTACAAATTCTGAATATTAGACCTTTGTCAAATGTATAATTTGCAGCCACTTTCTCCTGTTCTGTAGGTTGTCTGTTTATGCTGTTGATAACTTCTTCTGGTGTGCAGAAACTCTTTAGTTTAATTATGTCCCATTTGCCAATTTTTCTTTTTCTTGGAGTTGCTTTGAGTGTCTTCATCATGAAATCTTTGCCAGATCCCATCTCCAGAATGGTATTTCCTGTGTTATCTTCTAGGAGTTTTATCGTTTTGTTTTTACATTTAAGTATTTCATCCATCTTGAGTTGATTTTTATGTATAGTGTAAGGAAGGGATCCAGTTTCAGTCATCTGCATATGGCTAGCAAGTTATCCCAGCACCCCTTACTGAATAGGGAATCCTTTCCCCATTGTTTGTTTTTGTCAGGTTTGTCAAAGATCAGAGAGTTGTAGGTGTGCAGCATTACTTCTGTGCTCCTTATTCTGTTCCATTGGTCTGTGTGTCTATATTTGTACCGGTACAATGGTGTTGTGGTTACTGTAGCATTGCAGTATAGTTTGAAGTCTGGTAATGCCAAATGCCTCCAGCTTTGCCCATTTTGCTTAGGATTGCCTTGGCTATTCAGGCTATTTTTTGGTTCCATATGAATTTTAAAATAGTTTTTTTCCTAATTCTGTGAAGAATGTCCTTGGTAGTTTGATAGAAATATCACTGAATTTGTGGATTGCTTTGGGCAGTGTGGCCATTTTAGCTATAGTGATTCTTCCTAATCATGAACATGAAATGTTTTTCCATTTGTTTGTATCATCTCTGATTTCTTTGAACAACATTTTATAATTATGAAATATTTCAGAGGTCTTTTACCTCCCTGATAACCTGTATTCTTAAGTATTTTATTCTTTTTGTGGCAGTTGTGAATGGGATTTCATTCTTAATTTGGCTTTCACCTTGGATGTTTTTGGTGTATAGGAATGCTATTGATTTTTCTGCATTGATTTACTAGCCTAAAACTTTGCTGAAGTTGTTTAGCAGATCAAGAAGCTTTTGGACAGAGACTATGGGGTTTTCTAGGTGGAGAGTTAAATTGTCTGCAAACATAGATAGTTTGACTTCCTCTCTTTTTATTTTGATGCCTTTTATTTCATTCTCTTGCTGGATTTCTCTGGCTAGGACTTAACAGTACCATGTTGCATTGGAGTGGTAAGAGAAGGCATCTTTATCTTGTTCCAGCTTTCAAGGGGAATGTTTCCAGCTTTGCCCATTCACTATGATGTTGGCAGTGGGTTTTTCATAGAGGGCTGTTATTTTTTTGAAATATGTTCCTTCAGTGTCTAGTTTGTTGAGGGTTTTTAACATGAAGGAATATTGAATTTTTTTTTGAAAGCCTTTCCTGTATGAAGATGATCAGGTGGTTTTTGTTTTTGTTTGGTTTTTGTTTTGAGACAGTCTCGCTCTGTTGCCTAGGCTGGAGTTTAGTGGTGTAATCTTGGCTCTTTGCAACCTCTGCCTCTTGGGTTCAAACAATTCTCTTGCCTCAGCCTCACCCAAGTAACTGGGATTACAGGTGCTTGCCACCATGCCTGGCTAATTTTTGTATTTTTAGTAGAGACAGGGTCTCACCATGTTGGCCAGGCTGGTCTTGAATTCTTGGCCTCAAGTGATCCACCCACCACGGCTTCCCAAAGTGCTGGGATTTCAATCGTGAGCCACCACGCCTGGCACATGTGGTTTGTTTTATTAGTTCTGTTATGTTGTGCATCACATTTATTGATCTGTGTATGTTGAACCAACATTGCATACCAGGGATAAAGACTACTTGATCATGGTGGATTAACTTTTTGATGTACTGCTGGATTTAGTTTGCTAGTATTTTGTTGAGGATTTTTGGATCCATGTTCATAAAAAAATATTGGCCTACTGTTTTCTTGTTTTGTTGTTTCTCTGTTAGTTTTTGGTATCAGGATGATGCTAGCCTCATAGAATGAGTTTGGGAGGAGACCCCCCCCCCCCCCTTTGTTTTTTTTTTTTTTTTTTTTTTTTGCAATAGTTTCAGTGGGAATGGTACCAGCTCTTCTTTATACATCTGGTAGAATTTGGCTTTGAATCCAGCTGGTCCTGGGCTTTTTCTTGTTGTTAGGCTTTTTATTACTTATTCAATTTCAAAACTTATTATTGGTCAGTTCAGGGATTCACTTTCTTCCTGGTTCAGTCATGGGAGGTTGTATGTTTCCAGGAATTTATCTGTTTCTTCTAGGTTTTCTAGCTTGTGTGCATAGAGGTATTTGTAGTAGTTTCTGAGGGCTTTTTTTTTTTTCTATTTCCATGGAGTCAGTCGTAGCACCCCCTTTGTCATTTCTGATTGAGTTTATTTGGATATTGTCTCTTATTTTAGTAGTCTAGCTAGTGGTCAATTTACTAGTTTTCCACTATTGGACTGTGTGGTTATGTCAGTCTCTTCATAGGTCTCTAAGAACATGTGTTCCTCTATTGGGTGCATATATATTTAAGATAGTTAGATCCTCTCGTTGAATTGAGCCCTTTACCACTATGTAAAGGGCTTGTCTTTCTTGATCTTTGTTGCTTTAAAGAATGTTTTGTCTGAAATTGGAATACCAAACTCTGCTTTCTTCTGTTTTCCATTTGCTTGGTAGATTTTCCTCCATCTCTTCACATTGAGCCTATGGATGTCACTGCATGTGAGATGGATCTGTTGAAGACAGCTTACCATTGGTTCTTGATTCTTTATGCAACTTGCTTCTTTGTGCCTTTTAATTGGGGCATTTAGCCTGTTTACATTCAAGGTTGATACTGATATGTATGGATTTGATCCTGTCATCCTACTGTTAGCTGGTTATTACGTAGACTTGTTTGTGTGGTTGCTTTACAGTGTCACTGGTGTATGTATTTAAGTATATTTTTATAGTGGCCAGTAACAGTCTTTTCTTTCCACATTTAGTACTCCCTTCAGAACCTCTATTGAGGTGGTTCTGGTGGTCATGAATTCCCTTTCAGAAAAGGATGTCTTACTTATTTGCTTATGAAGCTGAAGTTGGCTGGATATAAAACTCTTGGTTGGAAGTTCTTTTTTTTTTTTTTTTTTTTTTTTAAAGAATGCTGAATATAGGTTGAATCTCTCCTGGCTTGTAGGGTTTCTGCTGTTTTAAGCCTTATTGGGGGTTTCCTTTATAGGTGATCTGGCCCTTTTCTCTAGCTGCCTTAGCTTTTTTTTCCTTTCATTTTGACCTTAGAGAATCTCATGTGTCTTGGGATGGTCATCTTGTATAGCATTTCACAGGGGTTCTCTGCATTTCCTGACTCTGAATGTTGGCCTCTCTGGCAAGCTTGGGGAAATTTTCACGGATGATATTCTGAAATACACTTTCGAGGTTGCTTGCTTTCTCTCCCTTACAGGGACACCAGTGAGTCGTAGATTTGGTTCCCTTTACATAGTCCCATATTTTACATAGGTTCTGTTCATTCTTTATTGTTTTTTCTTCATTTCTGAATGAGTTATTTCAAAGAGCCAGTCTTTGACCTCTGAGATTCCGTCCTCAGCTTGCTCATTTGTGCTGTTGATACTTGCGATTGTATTCTGAAATTCTCTGAGTTTTTCAGCTCTATCAGCTCAGTTTAGTTCTTTGTTGAAATAGCCATTTTGTCTTTCATCTCCTGTATAGTTTTATTGTATTCCTTAGAATCCTTGCACTGGGTTTCAACTTTCTCTTGAATCCTAGTGATCTTCGTTTTTATCCATATTCCATATTGTATTTCTGTTATTGTAGCCTGGTTAAGAACCATGTTGGCCGGGCACAGTGGCTCATGCCTGTAATTCTAGCACTTTGGGAGGATGAGGCGGGCAGATCGCCTGAGGTCAGGAGTTTCATACCAGCCTAGCCAACATGGTGAAACCCTGTCTCTACTGAAAATACAAAATTAGCCAAGCATGGTGGCGTGCGCCGTTAATCCCAGCCACTCAGGAGTCTGAGACAGGAAAATCACTTGAACCTGGGAGGCTGCAATAAGCCGAGATCACGCCATTGCACTCCAGCGTGAGCAACAAGACGGAAACTCCATCCAAAAAAAAAAAAAAAAAAAAAAAAAGATTGTTGGGGAACTAGTGTGGCCATTTGGAGGTAAGAAGACACTCTGGCTTTTTGAATTGCCAGAGTTCTTGCACTGGATGTTTTTATCTTCGTGGGCTGATGTCCCTTCAGTCTTAGAAGTTGTCATCCTTTGGATGAGTTTTTTGTTCTTTTATCCGCTTTGATATCCTTGGGGCCTTGATTATGGTATAAGGTGGGCATGGTTGACTGGCTTTGATTCTGGAAGATTTTGGGGGGCCATGGCTTAGCTCAGGACTCCCGAGCTGCATGCCCTAACTCTGGGGGGCTGGTTTCAGGCCCTAGCTTTGTTCTCTGGTCCCTCCTGATTACTGGAGGGGGTGAGTTGTTCCCAGATTGCTGGTCACAACACTCCCATGAGTGGTGTCAGCCAAAATGCTTCATAGGAAGGTGGCAGTGAGATTCGTGCTGGTTCACTTACGCCAGCAGCAGCAGCAGTCTGGCAGGGTGCATGCTCGTTGCCCAAGCTGAGGTATTGGGTGTGCTGGTGTGGTGGCATCCAAGCATGTGTTTGCACCATTGCCGGTGTCATAGCAGGGGCAGAGATCTTTTGGGCATGTGCCCTCCATTCACACTGACAGCAGTGGCAGCGCAGCGTTTGCGGAGAGGCCACTAGTGTCAGTGCAGTGGTGGTGTCAGTGGAAAGATCGGGTACAGGAAGGCATGCAGTTAGCACCATCTGATATGGTTTGGTTGTGTCCCCACCTAAATCTCATCTTGAATTTTAACTCCCACGGTTCCCACATGTCATGGGAGGGACCCAGTGGGAGGTAATTGAATCATGGGGGTAGGTCTTTATCATGCTTATTCTCATGATAGTGAATAAGTCTTATGAGATCTGATGGTTTTATAAACAGGAGTTCCCCTGCATTAACTCTCTCTTGCCACCATCCATGTAAAACATGACTTGTTCCTCCTTGTCTTCTGCCATGATTGTGAGGCCTTGCCAGTCACATGGAACTGTAAGTCCATTAAACCTCTTTTTCTTCCCAGGCTTGGGTGTGTCTTTATCAGCAGTGTGAAAACGGACTAATACAGTAAATTGGTACTGGTGGAGTGGGGCGATGCTGAAAAGCTACCCAAAAATGTGGAAGTGACTTTGGAACTTGGTAACAGGCAGAGTCTGGAAAAGTTTGGGGGCTTTAGAAGAAGACAGGAAAATGTGGGAAAGTTTGTAACTCCCTAGAGACTTGTTGAATGGCTTTGATCAAAACGCTGATAATGATATGAACAATGAAATCCAGACTAAGGTGGTCTCAGATGGAGATGAGGAACATGTTGGAAACTGGAGCAAAGGCGACTCTTGTTACGTTTTAGCAGAGACAGGTGGCATTTTGCCCCTGCCCTAGAGATTTGTGGAACTTTGAACTCAAGAGAGATGATTTAGGGTATGTGGTGGAAGAAATTTCTCAGCAGCAAAGCATTCAAGAAGTGAGGTGGGTGCTGTTAAACGCATTCAGTTTTATAAGGGAAGCAGAGCATAAAAGTTCAGAAAATTTGCAGCCTGACAAGGAGATAGAAGAGAAAAACCCATTTTCTGAGGAGAAATTCAAGCCAGCTGTGGAAATTTGCATAAGTAATGAGGAGCTGAATGTTAATCCCCAAGACAATGGGGAAAATGTCTCCAGGGAATGTTAAAGGTCTTCAGGGCAGCCTTTCCCATCACAGGCCCAGAGGCCTAGGAGGCAAAAATAGTTTCGTGGGCTGGGCTCAGGGTCCTCGTGCTGTGTGCAGCCTAGGGACTTGGTGCCTTGCATCCTTGCTGCTCCAGCTGAGACTAGAACGGGCCAAGGTACAGCTCGGGATGTGGATTCCGAGGGCACAAGCTCCAAGCCTTGGCAGCTTCCATGTGGTTCCTGTGAGTACACAGCAGTCAAGAATTGAGGTTTGGGAACCTCTGTATAGATTTCAGAGGATGTATGGAAACACCTGGATGTCAAAGCAGAAGTTTGATGCAGGGGTGGGGCACTCAAGAACCTCTGCTAGAGCACTGTGGAAGGGAAATGTGGGGTCAAAGCGCTCACACAGAGTCCCTGCTGGGACACCGCCTCGTAGAGATGTGAGAAGAGGGCCACCGTCCTCCAGACCCCAGAATGGTAGATACAGTCACAGCTTACACTGTGTGCCTGGATCCCTGCATCCCTGGTGTGAAACCCACTTGATCATCTGTTCAGGTGGATTATCTGTTTGATACGTTGTTGGGTTCAGTTAGCTAGCATCTTGTTAAGGATTTTAGCACCTATGCTCATCAGGGATATCTGTCTGTAGTTTTCTTTTTTGGTTATGTCTTTTCCTGGTTTTGGTATTAGGGTGATACTGGCTTCATGGAATGATTTAGGGAGGGTTCCTTCTTTCTCTGTCTTGTGGTATAGTGTCAGTAGAATTGGCACCAATTCTTCTTTGAATGTCTGGTAGAATTCTGCTGTGAATCTAGCTGGTCCTGGACTTTTTTTTGTTGGTAATTTTTAAATTACCATTTCATTCTTGCTCCTTGTTATTGGTCTGCTCAGGGTATCAAATAAGCTAGGAGGGTTGCATCTTGCCAGGAACTTAACCATCTCTCTAGGTTTTCTAGTTTAGGCACTTAAAGGTGTTCATAGTAGCCTTGAATGATCTTTTGTATTTCAGTGGTGTCAGCTGTAATATGTCCCTTTTCATTTCTTATTGAGCTTGTTTGGATTTTGTCTCTATTTTTCTTGGTTAATCTTGCTAATGGTCTATCAGTTTTATTTATATTTTCAAAGAACCAGCTTTTTGTTTCATTTATCTTTTGTATTTTGTTTTTGTTTCAATTTCATTTAGTTCTGCTCTGATCTTGGTTATTTCCTTTCTTCTGCTGAGTTTGGGTTTGGTTTGTTCTTGTTTCTCTAGTTCCTTGAGCTGTGACCTTAGATGGTCTGTTTATGCTCATTCAGACTTTTTGATGTAGGCATTTAGGGCTATGAACTTTCCTCCTTGCACAGCCTTTGCTGTATTTCAGAGGTTTTGATAGGTTTTGGCTGTCTTTGTGAGGGTGCCAAGTGCTGGGGGGTCTAGTTCGCTATCTTGCTACAACTTTCTCAAATGCAAATATCTTGACCACAGAATCAGAATTGTATTCATCTTTATAATCCTCTCTATAAGGCTGCACATACCTGTTGAATGAGTGAATGAATGAGCCAAAGGAAGTGCATAGAAAATGACCAGACCTAATGGGTTATGTACATTTTATTATCTGTTTAGGTCATAATGCTGCCTGTGTTTTCCTATGTATTTGTAAAATGTAAAGGATTTCGTTTTTGTTGTCCTGTTTTTGGAGTAACCTGAGAAATTGTTTTAGATTTGTTTTGATTTACGTAGTAACTAGCAGACTTAGCTATATACAATGCAAAGATTATTATTTGTGAAATTATTTCTAGCCATCTAACAATATCAGTATTTAGTCTAGTTAATAAATTACCTTATACAGATTATATCAGAGTTTAATATCTTTGAAAAGTTTTGGACTTATCCAAAATATATTTAATTTGGTTTACCCCAAACTGTGTGTTGAAATACAAAGTTAATATACACCATACAAATTTAAAAACAATTTAAAATATTGCTGTTCTTTACTATAACTTATACTCTTTTATTTTATCCCTTAAAATGAATCTTAAAAAATACTATTGAAGTTTATAATATTCAAAGTAAGCCCTGTTCCTAAAATGAATTTTATAATAGATGTCTAGCAAAGCTGCTGTGTTAATAATGCAAAAATGCTGTAATTCTCTCCCAAAGAAGCAATTACTGTGAAAATCAACATTTTATTTCTGCCAAGAAAAAAAATTATTGTGTTCTACATCAAATTCTGCAAGAATCAGTTAAAAACTCTGTAAGTTAGGACTTTACAATTTCTTTCAGTAAACTTATGAAAACAATTATGAAATAAGTATTAACTATATATTGTGTTTGAGACTTGATTTTCAGTTTATATACTTACTAAATCCTTAAGTTATAATTTTAGGTTCAAAGTATAAACTCAACTTCAACCTCAGGAATGCTTTTCCCATTATATGAGACTGCCTCAAACCTCATTTATGGTTCAGAAATGTCTTTATTATGTTACCGAGGTAATCTCTACAGCACCTAAATTGTTTATACTATTACATCTCAGAATATTTGCTATTAGGTAATTAGAGTATCTGACAATATTAGATATTTAGGATATTTTTTCTGTGCCATTCTCTCATTACTAGGTGAAAATGAAATGTTTTTTACATATTTGACTTTGATACATCTTCATTATGCTCTTTTATTGCTTATAAATAGAAATCATTATTTTTCTCCAGTTTGCTTATCAATAAGTTAACATATGAAGTTCTGAAAGCATGGACCATTCTCTTTTTTTCATTTTTTTTTTTTGAGACAGGGTCTTCTCCTGTGGCCCAGGCTGGAGTTCAGTGGCGTGATCACAGCCTACTTTTAACTTCAAAATCCTAGGCTCAAGCCATCCTCCCACCTCAGCCTCCTTAGTAGCTGGGACTACAGGTGCATGCCACTGCACCCAACTAATTTTTAAAATTTTTTGTAGAGACAGGGTCTTGCTATGTCATCTAGGCTGGTCTTGGACTCCTAGCCTCAAGTGATACTCCAGCACTGGCCTGCCAAAGTACCAGGATTACAGAGGTGAGCCAACCATGTGCAGCCATCTTCAGCCTATTTTAAATGAACAATTTTTTAAAAATACACTGTAAATATAACTAGCAATCATTTAACTGTAACAACTATTCAGTGAATTGTAATGTATATTTTATTACTGGTAATTAATTAATTCATTAATAAAGGCATTCTCATTTTAGAAAAAGTGTTTTTCATTTTCTCCTAGCACTTTCATTCACCATAGTTCTCAAAACTTGCAAACTTTTAGACTGCACTCTCTCACCACTGTTTCTTGCTCTGTCTGTACTGTTTCACTGATGGTAGTGAAACAGACTACTTGGATTTTAGTGTCCACCTGTCAGTATTCAAAATCTAACATAAAACCTAGCATTAACAATGGTAATATGATCTGATGTAATTGATGTGACTTTTAAAAAATGCTGTTTGCTCCAGGAAAAAGATTATATGCAGAAACTTATTTCCTTATTAAATAATACTTGTATTTTCAAATGAACTTTATATCCTGATAGCACATGACATTTTCCCTTTAATATGAGTTTGAAAGATGAGGAAGTTGTATAACAAGAGTGAAAAGCCATTGGAATACTTTGTTGCTTGTTAGATTTAGTGCCCTTTACAAAGAGTATGGACTTTTTTTAAGCGTTGTACAGGAAAAGTCTAATTTAATGTTTTATAAAGCACTTAGAGGTTAAATAGAACTTTTAAAATGGATTTCTTTTGACCAAGTGATTATCCTTTCAACAAGTGCTATAGAAGGAAGAATTATATAAGCATCAGCAAAAGCCTCTATATAATGTCTTGCTAGCCCATTTTTTATAAACGGGACTTGAGTCAGCAGAAAGGGCATTCCAATATTGCAACATTAGAATCTTTTTATAATCTTTTTATTATCTACATTTGAATAGAATCTATTATTATAGAGATTAAATACCCTGTCCTGTGTGTGTTCCTTAGATTGAAAACAGGACAAGATTACAGTGAAGGCATCAGCTTAGGGTATGAAATTCTGAATCCAAATACATTTCAACTCCAAATAATCTCTGGGTCCAGAAAGCCAGTTGCACTGACTCAGAAAAAAGTTTATCATGCTTTTCCACCAGACAGACTCACACTTCAAGTCATTTATTTAATTCAATTCAATGAATAACTACGGTATGCTTTTCCCTCTGTGTAGCTCTGGGGGTGTAACAGTATTCTGGGCTGAATTCCTGTATTTGTGAAGTTCATAATTTATTCAGGGCTGCAGGTGATTCTACAGTTAATTTCTGATAGAATATGAGACTAGCTATAATCATAATATAAGCAAAGTGCTGTGTGAACAGAGTAAGTAGGAGTGAAAGAGCCTTTTCCTTAGGCTGGATATTGTAGGAAAAAAATTAAATTTCTTCAGTTAATGGACAAGTGGAAAATAGGACAGAATGAAGAAAGGCCATATGCCTTGTTGAGGGAACAGAGAGTAATTTGATGTGGTTAGTGCCTGTGAGTGTTGAGAAATGAGGCTAGAAAGATAATTTGTTACTAGATTATGAGGGACCTTGAAAGCTTTGTGGTAATTTGCTCCTAATCATCTGAGCAGTAGGAAATCATGGAATGATTTGAAGAAAGAGTGGTGTTGGGTACCTAAGAAACTGTTTGTTTAAAGAGACAGATGTCTCTTTCAGTGTTTGTCTGAAAAAGAATGTTTGTTGTCCCTTTTCTGGTCCTTTCACTAGAGGGAATGGCTGGAGCTTTTTTTTTTTTTTTTTTGCTTTGCCTGTTGGTGTTTCTGGGTTGCCCACTTCTCCAGTATCATCCAGTCCAGGATATGTGAAGTGAAAATCATTGTGTTAGTCCGGAGGTCCCTATTCTGTGTGCTTTCTTCTCTCTACCTTTCAGAATCTTCTTATGTTTGTTTTATATGTGATGTCCAGGGTGTTTGGCAGTATTTAACTAGAGGGACAAACACAAGTACATCCATCTTGTCTGGAATTAGAAATCTTAAATGGACTTTAAAAAAATGTTACAGAAGTAAAATGTACAAATAGCGTAATACACAGATCTTAAATGCCTATTTTAATAAGTGTATATTTCCCTGTAATAATCAATGTAAAACCTTTTTATTCCCCCACAAAATTTCCTCAGGGCCTCTTGCATGTATATCTGCCATTCCTCATAGGAAGCCACTGTTATGATTTTTATCACCATAGATTACCTTGCCTATGCTTGAAGTTCCCATAAAATGAATCACATAGTATGTGTCTGGATAGTTTTACTTAACATATTTTTGAAATTGAAGATGATTTGTAAAATACTGTGTATGTGTGTATTTTTTACTTTAAACATTTTTAAGCCATAGAATAATATTACCAGAATAGTGTTTCAGGAAGGAAGTTAATTTTGTAGTCGATATAGTAGCTGTTTTGGGTTTGGGGGTTGTTTGATGGTTCATTATAGAAGTAGATGCATAGAGATGTTGAATTACCCACAATGTCATCAATCTGTTAATAAAACAAAGCCAAATGTATTAGAATTTAACTGCAGTAAGAAAAACTTTGCAGTGTTTCAGAAGGAAGAAGTAGAAGAAGGATATTTATAGGGCTTTGGGATCTGTGCTGAAATGGTTTAAGGTGGGCTTTTTAAGACAGGCAGCTTATGTGGATTAGGCAAATTCTGTGATGGAACAGTTTAGGTTTGTTGGACACTGAGGCAAGAGTCTTAAAGTAAGCTGTTTATCCAAGTTGTATGGACTGTTGTCTCTGATAAATTGGTCTGTGAGAATTTCTTGAAGCAAACAGTAGGTTATTTTTTTGGTTTACAGTCTTATCCTTTGCCAGGCAAAGATTTCCTTGAATAAACTACTAAGTCATGTTGACACAGATGGTCTCAGTTCTCAGAGATAAGAGGTTGTTGATGAATTTGAGGTTTTTAAGGCCACTACCAAGGTAATGGAAATGGGACGAGAATGGAAGAGCCATTATGTAAGAGACCAGTCACGGCTGTGTGGAGAACGAAATCAAGAGAGCCTATTTTCTTGGCCTGATGGGGCTTCCTTTTGTAGACTCTTTTTGTTTACTCTGGCATTTACTCTTAAAAGACTTTTCATAGGTACTTCAGATGGAAGAGACTCTAATGTTACCAAAGCCAGAATCTTCTGTTTGAGTAAGAAACCCTTTTGTAAACATTGGTATTAAATAATAGTTGTTGAGCCACTTCTTAAACAATTTAGATAGGGAACTTGCTTTCTCATGAGACAGCCAATTTTAGCTTTAGAATGCTTTATTTGTTGAGAAAGTGTTTCATATATGGAGCTGAAAACTGTTTCTTTGAAATGCTTAATAGTGCTTTCTTTCCTCCCTCTGGAATCTCATGGTATAAATACCTTCCAAGGTTCTCATATCAGCTGAACAAATATTTGAGGTGGGTGTTCACACTGTACTCTCTTTCTAGGCAACCTGTTTCCAGCTCTTTCAGCAGTCATCATGCCACAGATTGGTAGTGTCTCCCTATCCTGGTTTCTGTTCTCTGCTTTGCTCTCCAGTTTGTCGGTGTCACCATTAATACCTGCAGCGTTCAAGTTGAATACTATTCTCCAGATGCATTCTGAACAGGGAGGAGTGGAAGTATTACCTTTTTTTCTGTGTACCAGACTTATATTACTTAAAATAACAAATTGAAACAAACAAACAACATCAACAACAAAAAATACAACTAACTTCTCTTTAGCTTTTCTAATAGCTTCATCAGACTAGAAACTCATGGTCCACTTGGTTTCAGCATTGCTAGGCATAGTTGACAGTGATTGAGAGTTTCAGAAAGATGAGCTGAAATTGTTTACGTGCATGATGCCAAGAAGTATACTGTCCCAGTTTACTAATTAAACAAACAAAAAACACCACACAGTCGTGCAATGGAGGTAGTAGTGAGGCTATCTTCTTATTGTTTGTTTAACTTAGACTCTGCTGTAGGGAAAAACTGCTGAGATTCTTTCATGTTGATTCCCCAAATGATTACAGAATCTCATTTTAGTTGCATAGCTTGCTATTATTAGGGAAGAAAGTATCTTTCTAAACTCTTTATGAATTCAAGAATGTTATAGAGAAAGTATCAGGGGACATTAGTATAGGTATAAACTTTAAAGAGATATGTAACTTGAGCCTAATTAATTATAGATTATAATATTATGGAAATAGAGGTAAAACAAATAACATATTCCAGCTACTCTATACTTTCAATTTCCTTTTCTGAACCCTTCTAAGTGGGAATTTTTTCTTCAAATTTAATGTACTTTGGGTTGCAGTTGAGTTGGAGAATTTGAAGTTTGTCTTGTTTTTAACATTTTTTAAACATTCATTAGTGATATTGAAAATAACAGCTTTGGGCAGCCTTGTTGTCTTTGGCCATTTGGGTTGTTATAAAGGAATACCTGAGACTAGGTGATTTATAAAGAAAAGAGTTTTATTTGGGTCACCATTCTGCAGGCAGTACAAGAAGCATGGCGCCAGCATCTGCTTCTGGTGAGTGCCTCAAGCTGCTTCCACTCATAGCCAAAGTTATGGGGAGCCAGCATGTGTAGCAATCAAATGGCGAGTGAGAGGAGTGACGTACCAGATTCTCTTAAATCATGGAAACTAATAGCGGGAGAACTCATTCATTACTGGGAGGGTGGCACCAAGTCCCCCATGATCCAAACTCCTCCTCTCAAGCCCCACCTCCAACAAATGGGGATCACATTTCAACATGAGATTTGGAGGGGACAAACATACAAACCATAGCACTGTATTCATTAGCTCATTCGCTCAGCAAAAGTTTACAGAGTGTCTGCTCTATGCTGTCTTAAGCAGTCTGGCTTGGCGCACTGCAAAATAAGTGACGAACAAAATAGATAAAGCTTATAACCTCAAAAAGCTTTTATTTTAGCCAGGGGACACAGACAGTGAAAAAGCAAATATGTCAGGTGGTAGTAAATACTTTGAGAAAAGTAAAGCAGAGTGATAGAAGGTTGAGGAGAATGCTTTTTTATACAGGGTTCTGAGAAGGCCTATCTGAAAAGAAGTCATTTAAGCAGAGACCTGAAGGAAATGAGAGAGTGATTTATATAGTATCGGAAGATGGAACAGCAAGTGCAAAGGCCCCAAAATGGAAACATTCTTAATGGTTTTTTTTTTTTTTTTTGGAATAGCAAGGAAGCCAGTATGATTGTAGTAATGAGAGTGAGGAAGAGAGTGGTAGATATGATTAGAGTGACACGGTGCTGTGCTGTGGGGCAGGGGCAAGAGCACAAGTTGACATGTGTTCTATATAAGCCTTGTAAACTCTGTTAGGGACCTTGAATTTTAATCTAAGTGATGTGGAAGCCATTTGAAGGATATCAAGCCAAGGAGTGAGATAATCTGACATTTTAAAAATCACTTATTTTTGAGAAAGATAGCTACATAACTTTATTGGTTCTTTGTTCTCGTTCGGTTTATGACAACTACTAAACTAGACTGTAACGCTGGTTCTCCACAGAACACATAAATACCAACTAAAGGAAACTCTTTTTTTTCCTTTTCTTTTTCTCTTTCCTAACCCACTGCCCCTGTGTCTGTCTGTACATCCAATCCTATCCCTCTTTTTCCTTTCTGCAGCAGATATATGATGCTTGGGATGTAAAAAGAATGAGCATTGTTTGCTCCTATATTGACCCTGACGAGTTTTGGAATAGGAAGGATCGTTACTTCTTACGTTTGATTTTTTAGATAAACTGGGAATCAAAAGGGTTAAGTGATTTGCCCAAAAGCACATAACAAGTTAATCACAAAACAGTTAGAACCCATGCTGGCTTCTTTGTTAATCCTGTATTCTTTAAAAAAAAAAAAATAGTCCTTATTATTTGGAACACTTGTTATATAACTTACTAGGTTTTTCTCTGTGGCATCTCATATTTTATACCTTTATTTTATTAGGGTATTATTATTTATGTCTTTGTATTTTCATGACCCATTTCTTCAAAGATAATGTAAAATGCCCTGGGTGCATGATTTTTTTTTTCTCGGACCTTCTTAACGGCAGGAATTAGAGCCATAGTTACCAAAACAATTATTCTAAAGAAAGAGTAC
The DNA here is from genome assembly GCF_000001405.40 of Homo sapiens. Classification (NCBI taxonomy): domain Eukaryota; kingdom Metazoa; phylum Chordata; class Mammalia; order Primates; family Hominidae; genus Homo; species Homo sapiens. Next base: position 15,705,199 of record NC_000008.11, read on the forward strand.
AGAGACATTGATTTGATGATGAAAGGAAGCACTGCTGGAATGTTTTCTTGGCTTCTTATGATGAGTGGAGTTTCACAGTGGTATATTTGTTTAAAATAAAAAAGATTTACTTTGAACAAAAACTATTTAAACAAGAAGACTGCTCAAATTATTGTTATGGAAAACCACTCCAGAATCTATTCATTTTTATGAAACCATTTGTAGAAATCAGAATGAATATAGTATTCTATTAAATTAGATTGATCACCTAACAGTAACGTGTAGTGTATATAAATAAAAATTTATATAAACTCTGAATAAAATATTTTCTTGTATATAACCAATTTTGGTGGGTAATATGTCAGAGCTACAAGACTTACCTTTAAAATGATTCTTCACAAAGCGCTGATAGCTTGCTCTGATAAAAGTTTCTCAGAAGGCTGAATTCCAACATCCTTGAGCATGGCCCTATGTGATAGAGTGGAAGAAAGAAGGTCTTTGTGCATCTCTTCATCTCTTCAATATTTAGTGGTCTTTGTGCCTCTCTCCTGCATAGTACTGCTTCAGCCCAATGATGATGGCAGGTGGGTCATCTTCAGTCTGTCAGAGTTTGTAGGTATTACAGAAATAGCTTCTCTTTTGGTTCTCATCCCCTCCTTCATGCTTTACAACTTACATATTATCAGATAAAACTGTGCCGCCTTTCCTGCTAGTGTACCTTGAATCTCTGTGCTGTGACGTAACAGAGGCATCCATTTTACATACTTGTTTTCTTACATTTTAGAAGTTTGGATTTTAGATTCCAGTTAAGTACTCTTTAAAGATACTCATATTATACATGGTTGGATCTCTCAAATTTTAGCTGTGAGTCTGACAAAAACAGTTACCCTTTGTACCTAATTAAACCAGATTGTAATCTAGAGACAGGGGTGTTAACTCCTATTGTCTCAGTACTTCTGATGTATTATAATATTGCATACTGTTTCCCTAAATTTTCAGTAAATAATAAATTACTATTATTGCATATATATGGTATATTTTGGTATATATTTATGTGTTTGCTGTTTATTTTCATTTGAGAGTCTAATAGTGTTAATTCTTTGTATTTATGTTGTCAATAAGTCAATTAAGGAAGCAAAGGAAAAGAAAGTGTTATCTTTTCAAGAGCAGCATTCTATTTTGCAGTGCTTTCCTCAGGAAATGAAAGAAAGATTTCTCATAATCTAACAAGAACATCCAATTCCATGTTAAAATATTGGTTTTAAGTAAGCCAATTAAGAAAGAACCCTTCAAACTTTTCACATGACTTTGCTATTATCATTCAGACAGATGTCAGAGTCATAATATGAATACTTAAAAAGGGTTTGAAGTGTTAATAGAAGAAGCTTCCACTCTGAAATTCTATTTGCAGGAGTAGAGAAAAGATAACAGTATTATCAATTTCGTGTAGCTCATACTGAAATGTGGATTTTAATACAAGATGTTAATATACGAATAAATATTTCATAACTTGAAAATAAAATAATTACGCCTTCTGTATGGGTGAAACAAACTGCATTGAACTCTTGATTGTGCAAATATGATCACGAGCATTTTCTAAGCACTCTTCCATTGTACAATGACACTTTAATAAAGTACTTGTAGAGAAGCATGTATTTCAGCTATCAACTTTATTCTTTTACTATTTTGTCCTTTTAAATTTGGGAAGTTAAGTTGTAGGGCGCAAGAAGTTCATTCAGCCACCCAGAGCAACATAAAAAACTGATAATTAGGAAAATGCTACTTTTGATCATTGAATCATATTATAAGTCATCATTTGTTGCTATAAAAGTATACTTTATGGGTTTTGGACTCCATGTTTTTACCTGACTGCTTTTTTTGAGTTACTATGTCTCAAAGCTTTATCACCATGGGTTAGTAGTTTACTAAAAGTCTGTGAAACTAACCTAATTTTATATCAGATGGTATATTTGAGAGTTAGTCACTTTCATAATGCCTACATAAAGTAATTGAACTGGTAATGTAAATGCATATACAGCTAAAAATGCTTATGCCAAGCTATTCTCAGTAAGCTTTAAAATTTACATTTAAGAAATCTGAAATGTGGTTATGTTGGACTTTTGTTTCCTGTCCTGAACTTCTGCAATAAGCATTGTAATAAGAGTCACATCATATAGTCTGTCTTTTCAGTGATTGAATACAAGAGAAGAATGTCTAAGTTTTGTGCCCTATGTTTTTTAAACCTATATTTTTTATGTTTTAGCAAGACATTTTTGATCATATATTGTGGCAAACACCACCACTAAATACCAGAAATCAAAGCACAAGTCATTTTTCTCTCTTGATGTTTTCCCAGGCCTGTAGGGGAAATGATATGTAAGTAGACAACAGCCATGCAGCTTGGTAACAATCAAATATAATGTTGAATATATTTCTGCGAGAGCAAAGATGGAACAGCAGCTTATTGCCTAGATGACTCTATAGGAGATGTGGAATGGGAAATGGAAAAGCTCAGATGTTTACATTGAAGTGGGAATTTGACATGTGCATCCCTGGGTGTGTGAATTTTCTAGGGCTGTCACAACAAAATGCCACAAACCGGGTAACTTTAAAACAACACAAATTTGTTCTCTCACAGTTCAGGAGGCTGAAGTACAAAATCAAAAGATTAGCGGGGTTGGTTTTTTTGGAGGTTCTAAGGAAAGAACCATCCCATGCCTCTTTCTTAGGTTCTAGTAGTTGCTGGCAATTGCTAGCGTTCCTTGGCTTGTATTAATAGATGCCCCACTCCAGTCTTTGCCTCCATCTTCACATCCCCTTCTTCTGTGCTTCTCTTTGTATCCTTTTCTGTCTCTTATAAAGTTATAAAGATACTCTCATTGGATTTTGGGCCCTCCTAAATCCTGAACTAATTAAATCTGTTTCCAAATAAGGTCACAGTCCAAGTTAATTTTTGGAGGAGGACATCATTCAACCTCACTACACTGGGCAGAGTAGCATAAGAAAGTAAAGAAAATACCCAAAGGCCTAGAGGTATGTAAAGTTATTGGTAGATTCAGGATAATAAATGTAGAGGAAATGGAATAAATGGAGTGTGGAGGAATACTGAGAAAGTTGATTGGGAATAGATTAGGAAAAACCTTGTGTGTCACAGGAAGATGTTTAGACTCTGCTGTAGGCATTTGGGTACCAGAAGCCTGTAAACCTTTGAGGTGCATGAGCAGATTTGTATTTTAGAAAAGTGACACACAAAACTGAAAGACTTAAAAGACTAGTCTGAAGACAGAAGTAACATATAATGGCTTCCTAAATGAAAGTGTGGTAGTGATTTAAAAGTGATGATTATTAAACTTCATCTGTGGTTCAGTGAGCAGTGTATAGAGAGGGTTGAAATGATTTTGAGAATGCTTTGGGAGGCAAGTTGATAACATATGCCATAACTAAGAATTTTGGTGGAGAAGAAAGATAAAACATTCAGTTTTTAAACAGAGAATTGGGTTAAACAGTCAATCAACGTTTATTTAATAATGCTTTCTGTCTAGCATTAGTCTAGATACTTTGGAGATTATAATCATGGCTTCTATTTCAAGATCTTTACAAGATACGTGGAGTCATGATACTGATAAAAGTGAAACAGAAAACAGTCCAAATCCGTGTGTAAACTTGATGATTCTGACTGATAAATACATCAGAATTTCAGATTAGGAAAAGATCTGTGTGGAGTTAGGTGCCATAAAAAGGGTTTCCTGAGTCTTATGTAAAGTAAATTAACAACTTTTGATCTAAATTGACAAAGTAGTACTTAATTTAGATTTGATAAATTATATTTGAATTGGTTCAAAAGAAGATAGAACTCCAACTAATAGTTGATCATTAAGCTTGGAAGGCAGATATAAAAATGGTGTTTTTGTACAGGAAAGATAGCCTGACTAGAAGAGAGAGGATAGCCAAATGTTAGATTATATTATGTTTGGGAAGGTATACTGCATCCAACATAATCTGTCTTGGAAGATCAGGTAGGTAAATTTGTATTCACTGCACAAATAATTAGTTACTGTTGGAAAAAAGTTTTTATGTTAGTAATATTAGCTCAACAGTAATATGTAGTTCTGTTATTTTTTAGAAAATAAAAAAGATTGGAGGAATGCCAATCTGAAAGCTTTTACCCCAATCCAAGTATGAGATAAGTCCTGTTAGAGAAATTAGATTTTGTATATTTTGACTACACGTATTTCCTCGTTCTCCTTTGGCTGATTGAACTAGCTCTAGTTAATCCATATTCTTATATGTATTTTATGCCTTCTTCATTTTTGCTCCTCTGACTTACTCATTATTCCCAGCCAGAATTTAGCTCCAGATGAAGCTCCCATTGAGCCATTTATATACTCCATATCTAAGAGCACGGGGAAAGCTTGAATGATGTGAAAATGTGGATGATGAGGAGGAGGATGATGATGATGATGATAAATTACCTTTAATGTGTTAGGAGCTGTATGTGTTATCTCCTTTAGTCCTTATAGTATCCTTATATGAAATTGCCACTATTATCTCCCAATTAGGTAAGGAAAGTATGGCTTAGAGAGGTTAAGTAGCTTGATTTAAATAGGGTTCCACTGCAACTAGACCTGTCTAACTGCGTAGTCCAGATTCCTCATCACTTTAATATAGCATACTGGCTCACCTACATCTTTTCCTTGTTGCAGTCCATTACATTATGGCACTCAAATTCAGCTTCCTAAATTGACCTACAGTCACATTTCCTTTCTATTCAAAAGTCTTCTGTGACTTCCTTATACTTAACAAAATTCATTATTTCTCCCCTATTCCAGGATCCCTCCAAATGTAGTGACAGCCTCTTCCCTCCTGGTGGACTTATCTACAGTCTATACTGTTTTTTACCTTAGTGCGCTCCCCTCCCTGCCCTTTTCGGAGTCCTACCTCCTTTTTCTTCTATTTGCTGAAATGTTACTTTAGGTTTTGTCTGGAGGCTAGAATCATCCTATGATGATCTCTCCCAAGAAACTTTGTCTGTTTCTCCACCCTTCCTCTTAATTTAATAATGCTTTATTTGCTACCACTTATGCTACCTAATTTTTTGCTTGGTTTGTAGTTTAGATAATATATAGTTATTTAAACTGGAATGTAAACTTAAATTTCTTAAAGTCAGAAATGATTGTTTCCTCATTTTTGTGTCTTCTAGTATAGGGCCTCGTGCTATTTAAGCCTAGATGAAATAAAGAGTGAGAGTGGAAATGAGTTCTGACCGAACAAGGGCCTTCATTCTACAGTGAGTAATCAATCTGCAGTTTAAAATAAGCAGATTCATTGAATGGGCCACAAATTCCTATGGCAGGAAAACATAGCTGACATGAAAAAGGAAACACTTGTTTACCTCTCCACTGTCATTTTTCCAGTTATGTTCCAGAGGTTGGCTGAGCAAACCCCCAGGCTACTTATTAAAATGCAGATTGCAGAAAATGGGACCTAGAAATGCACCTTTGTAGCAAGATTCCCAGGTTATTTGAGTGAAATTTCTACAGAAACATATATAGGCATAAAAATGCACAAATCATAAATGTGCAGCTTAGTAATTTGCATGAAGTGAATATATATATTTATAAATATATATATTTGCATGAAGTGAATTTATAAATATATATATATTCACTTCATGCAAATTACTAAGCTGCATTATATATATAATATAAAATATATATATATAAAACCAGCACCAAATCAAGAAGTGGAATTTTGCCTGCATTCCAGAATTTCACTTAACTTTGCAGTCAGTTAACTAATCTGCCACCCAAGTCACCCCTCAAGGGTTTCCTGAGTCTTATGTATAGTAAATTAAGAACTTCTCATCTAAATTCAGGCTTGTCTCTGATAATGTAGACATTAAAACAGTAGTCCCCAAACTACTACCTCCGTTTTCTTCGCTTTCCCTTTTTTTTCTTGTCCTCTCCTCTCACTACCAGCATTTTCCTTGGCAATAAAAAGTAATGAAACACTTCTTCTGAAAAATTCCTGTAAGTCTCTCCTCGATGTTGATCTACTTAAGCTGAGGCAGTATTTTAAGGGTTCTCTCCCTTCTTTTGTAGGATTCCTAGAATTTCTTCATTAGGCATAGAAGATTCTGCTCTTTTTTTCAAATATTATTTAGAAGATTGAAAGGATAAACATAATTTCAAAGGATCTGTGCCATTGATAATTTAGTTTACTTTTTCTAAACCAAAAACTTATCTCAGAAAAGAGGTTACCAGGTTTTAGAAAAACAAAAAGGTACGTGTGTGTGTGTGTGTGTGTGTGTGTGTGTGTATTTAATATGTGTGTATATATATATATTTAATATATGTATATATATTTGTTTAAATCGCATTAATGCCTTAAGCATTAAGATTCTTAACTTTGGAATTTGTGATAGTTTAGCATCATCTTTAGAGAATTTACCATTGCACTGTGTAGGCATGGTTTGCTAAGCAAATTAAGGATATAACCTGTTTTGTCTGATTTGCTCAAGAAAATAACTTCTTGTGAACAATAGTATCTTGATTGTTTATATCCATAAAGATAATGCTATAATTGCAAATATATTTTACCTGTATATTTAAGCTTTCCACTTGAGAATTTTAATTGACAATTAGAATTACTCTATAGTTTCAGAGTATATTTTAAAATATATAGCTTCCTCCTCCCTGCCACCCCCAGTTTGATCGTCACGTTTTTACTATAGTTTCAGGAACTGAAAGGAAATAATAACCAAGACACAAACTTTATGAACTTCATGAATATTATTGTTGTGATTTGTTCAGACCTTGATTTTTAATCTTTTCCTTCCAAGAAGAAAACATACTAAATTGCTGTGCACAGTTTCGTCACATAATAATTTTTATTTTCTAGGATTGAATATATCTTATTAATAGTATTTTCAGAAAGTACAATCTTATTTTACAAGTATTGTAAAATATTTCAAATAAGTAATAGCTTATTTGAAAAATAAGATTAGAGGCTCTTAGAGGACTTTTAAAGATTATCTAATTCATTCTTCGTCTTCAGACATGATATAAATTTCCTTGTTTTAATGCTTTTGTTCAGAGTACTCATGCTGTTGATTCTTTTAGCAAACTATCTTTGTATTATCATTTTTCTGTTTAACTTCTGTCACTACCTGTTCATTCCACTTAACCTGCTCTTTTCAGAACTATTTGAAACCTCATGAAAACATGTAACAGTTCCAAAACCAAGATCTTCAACTTGAAATTCACATCGAGTTTAACTTCAGTTTCTCCCCTTCTCTTATTCCTGCTTATTTCGATCTTTATTCCTTAACCGTTTTATTAGATCTCTTTTATGTTCCTATTTCCATCACCCCTTTTAAAAAGGATTTACGTGGTCTCCAAAGGACACTAAGATTTCCTTCTCTAGAATCTCAGTCCTCTTTCTTTTCAACCGTCTATCTTCTTGCCAATCCCCAATCCTTTTAAGCTTTACTGCCTACTTTGCTGCTGCTTGTAAAATACTGTAGAAAGTCAGAAATAACGTTTTGATTTAATACATTCCACAGTGTTTGCTCCTAAAGTTTCTCACCTGCACACCTTTATTCTAGTCTTCACAGGTCACAGTAAGGGTCACTTTAGATGACCTTATTTCCTATGTAAACTAAACTACTACAAGAGTTATCTGTGTCCATTAAGTTTCTTCATTTCTGGTTCACTCCTCGGTACAGTTCAGTCTGGCTCCTTTATGCGTAGCTCCATTGATAATTACACTCTCTAAGGTCACCAGTTATTTCCATGCTGTTAAATCAGTTGGATGTCCACAGCATTTATAAGTAATTCTTATTTTTCTAGAATATTGTAAACTTGATGGCAACAGTAAATATTTTTGCTTTTCTTTAAAGAACATGTTGATCCCAAATAATCCACAAATACGTTTTTGTAAAAGTCGTAAAAGGTTGAAATAATACATAACTATATAAAAGAAAACATAAAAGCCTCCCTTTCATTATTCTCTTCCGAATTTATCATACTCATTCCAAAGGTAACAGTGGTTTACAGTTTTATGTGGTTTCTTCTCATTTATTTTCTGTGCTTTTCCACACATATTTACACTTGTAAGTATATATAATACATGTGTTTAATTTACATGCTTGTAAGCATTTCCAATTAAAATTACATTTTTAAAAGTAAAATCTAAGCATAGTGTTACTGTCATTGTTCAAAAGAAAGCTGACAATAAACATAAGGCATTAGTGGCATCGATTAAAAGATCTTAAGAAAACTAGCAGAATTTTTGTCAGTTGTAATAGATATATTAGTTTGCTAGGGCTGCCATAACAAAGTACCACTCACTGGATGGTTCCAACAACAGAAAATGTATTTGCTCAGGATTACGAAGCCTACACACATCCGAGACCCAGGAGTCAGCAGGGCGAGTTTGAGGTCTTTCCTCTTGGATTGTAGATGGCTGCCTTCTCCTCCCTCACTCTTCCCATGGTCTTTACTCAGTGCATGTCTGTGTCTTGATCTTTTTTTTATAAAGATGCCAATTATATTGGATTAGGGCCCATCCTAGTGACCTCATTTAATGACCTCTTTAAAGACCCTCTCACCAAAGAGTCATATTCTGAGGTACTGGGGGTTTTGGACTTAGGCATTTTTGGGAGGGACTCAATTCAGCCTCTAACAGAGCAATAATACTCAGTTGACATTTGTTAAACATATTTCTCATGAAAATAATTGGTCACTTATTCACAACCGTGGCCTCATTTGAAAAGTACTTAAGCAAATACCACTTGCTTGTTAATGGCTTACTGATTAAGTTTTATTTTAGTGAAAGTGCGCCTTGAAGGATATTACCTCTTCATTGAAGCTACAGACGTCTTACACAATTAAGAACAACTTATAGTAACATCTACCTCTTTACTCAGCATGAGATGTGTTATTGGTGGTACAAAGCATTTTGAAGACAGTCTGTATAAATTGCATTATATAACTTAAAATGCTCTGTTATTGGAATATGAGGATAGAATTTTGTAACACTTTACCTCAAGCACACTTATAAAGGATTTGAATGATTAATCCGTAAAGTAAATCTGTGTAAATAACAAGTGTAGCAGTATATATGTTGTTTTTAAATTTTGATTTTTGAACCCCAATTTTGTTGAAGTTATTATGCCATCATCAAAAGATAGAGGATTGAAAAAAATGACATCTCATCGCTATTTCCAGCCAGAAAGTGTTTGAATTATCACAAATTTTTACATTACAATAAAGGCACTACATTTTATATAGTTGTTATATTTGGTAGTTTGTAACTGCTGGAAGTGGTTATTAAAGAGAAACTTTAGAGGTGATACCAACATGGTTCTGAAATACTTGTACTAATGAAGAATTGTGAGCTATCTTAAAACATCTGGTATTAATCCAGATATTTCAGTACTACATAATTTCCAAGGTTATACTTCTTTCTTAGTAGGAATGTTAAATATACAATTTCTTGTCCTCTGTCTGCTAGTTTAAGGTTTCTTTCAGTTTGTTCAGTTTGATAAAGAATCAGTAAACTTAATTGAGAAGATGAATGTTCAAAAGAAAGATGTATATTAAACCCAGAGAATGTCTGAAGTGAGAGCTACATAACCAATTCTGGTAGATGTTAGTTTTATATTTTCAGATACTCAGAACTGAATTTTACATTTTATTATTAATAGCTCTCTTGGTAGGATTTCTTCCTCTTTATAACTCTTTATAATTTTAAACTGGATTATTTTGGAATCTATGATACAACGGTAACAGCATGAAATTGCATATTATACAACGTTGCATTTGAATGCAGGTGTCCCTTGACACTTCTTGATTAAACAAGTTACTTAACCTTTTCTGTAAAATGGAAGAATCTGTACACCTCAAGGTTTCTTTTTTTTCCTGTTCTGATAATTAAATTAAATAATCTTTATACAGTCCACCCTAATCCAAGACCATCATTCAGTGCTTGAAATCTCAGATAGTACCAAACTCTATATATATTGTGTTTTTTCCTAAACATGCATACCAGGATGAAGTTTAATTTATAAATTAGGCACAGTAAGAGATGAACAGCAATAATTAATAGTGAAATAGAACAATTATAACAATATTCTGTAATAAATTATGTTACGTGGATGTGGTCTGTGGTCTGTCTCTCCTTTAAAATACCTTATTGTACTATACCCACTCTTCTTCTTCCTGTGATCTGTCAACCTGATAACTGAGCAACCCACTAAGTGACTAATGGGAAGGTAGCATGTACAGTGTGGATATGCTCTACGAAGGCATGATTCGCAGCCCAAGGAGGACACAGCAGGATGGCATGAGATTTCATCACACTACTCGGAACAGCCTGCAACTTAAAGCATATGAATTGTTTACTTCTGGAATTTTCCATTGAATATTTTTGGACTGTAGTTGACAGCAGGTAACCGATACCACAGAAAGTAAAACCAAAGATAAGGGGGGACTACTATGCATTTCCTGATGTAAAACAGAAAAAAAAAAATTATTTCACATTTTTCTAGCGGTGGTCTCTATTTTAGAAAAAAAAATGCTTCCAGATCATAAATGCAAAACTCGTGGGCATACTTTTCTGTGGATATGATGGAACGATTCTCATTTGTTTTTCCTAAGGTTTTCCAAATAATATTTCCATGAAAACGTATCTTTTTTTAGTATTGAGGTATGATTTATATACAAAAAAATGCAAAGATCTTAAATATGCAACGTAAAATGAGTTTTGACTGTGCTTACATATTCTAATGGAAGGGTTGGGTGTGGTGGCACTCGCTTGTAATCCCAGCACTTTTGGAGGCCACGGCAGGCGGTTCACTTGAGATAAGGAGTTCAAGACCAGGCTGGCCAACATGGTGAAACCCCGCCTCTACTAAAAATACAAAAATTAGCTTGGCATGATGGTACACATCTGTAGTCCCAGTTACTCGGGAGGCTGAGGCAGGAGAATCACTTGAGCCCAGTAGGTGGAGGTTGCAGCAAGCCAAGGTTGTGCCACTGCACTCCAGCCTGGGCGACAGAGTGAGACTCTTTCTCCAGAAGAAAAAAACAAAAATTCTAATTGAAGTTTTGTGAATGTTCTTGTTTTCATTAATACATATTTCTGATTAAGGACAAATCTGAGGGATTTCGTATGAATTAACCAGCTTAAAAAAAAAAGCCAGTTTAAAGAAAAGTTGTTCAGTAAGTATGATTTTGGTGTTTGCAAGTCAGTGTAACATTTTTGAAATCTATAAAGAAAAAGAGTTGTGAAAAATGGAAGTATATTTGATAAAACCAATTTATGGGTAAAAAATTGAGTAAGTGTGTATAAGTATGTGTAAGTGCTCCCTTGTAATACACTGATACACGTGTGATACATTAATTACTAATGACGAAATATACTTTGAAATCTCTGGAGAAATATTTTAATTATATGCTAATAATATGTACTAACTACGAAATATCAATATTTATTTGTTAAGAAACTTCATTTACAAAAAACTGCTTACCGAAAAAGAAAATCATTTTTTAATGAGCTCAGTGTAAATACGAAATGAGTAACTGGTTTTATTAATTTTAAAGAACATTTACTATATAGTTATTTAAATCATCACTTTTTCTCTACTATTTATACGATTTTTTTGAGTTTAAGTGTTCTTCATACCCTTTTGAGGACTTTAGTAATAGCTTCATTTGAGAAATTAAAAAAATAGAGAATTGTAATTAGATGCTCTGAATTAAAATCCCTGAATATTTTACTGTAGGGTTTAAATGTATTGTATATTTAGTTGTTTTAAAATATATTGAAGGATGTATTTGAAACCAGTTCTCTTTTATGGTCCTCTGTAACTAATATCATTTTCCCTACAATAGACAGAATTCTGGACTTACGACTTGAAAACAACGCTATGACATTATAAATACGTATGTTTAAAATACAGGTCAAATGTTATAGATAGTAAGTATTGGAATAGTTTAATAGCAATAAATATTATCCTGAGGCAGAATTTTAGAAAAAAACTTCATTAAAGGAGGTGGAATTTGAATTGGCCTTAAAATCAAGGTGAATTTTGGTTTATCAGTAAGACGAAACATCATTTTTTGAGATGAATCAGGAAAAGAGATGGAACAGCCTTAAGAACCTGTATAGAGGTCAAAATGGGGATAAGATTGTTTGAGAGTAACGAAGAGACTGCTTTTACTGAAATATGTGATTTTGTTCATAGAAATGTAAAGAAAATTGTACATAATCTGGTATCCCAATCATATCTATCTCCAGACTCCTTCCCAGTAAGATCAGATAAACAGTTTTGCTTTCCATCCTCTATTAATTTCCTTGTCACACTGTACCTGTTTGAAATCCTGTTGCAGTATTACGTACTTATCTCAATATAATCTACATTAAAATATTCTGTTTATAGTTAACCATCTTTGGAGTCTTTCCATGTCAGCCTACTGTAATTTCAACTTTTTATTTCTCTAGCACTCATTTGGACATATAGCTAAATTGGCCACCAAAATTCTATTCTTCATTTTGTACCATGTAACTTAATTGCCAATTTTATTAATTTGTGATCTGCTGAATCCTATAGCACCTCTCAAGAAGAAAAATACTTTTATCCCTAGTTACAAAGGAGGTTAACTCAAGCGCAGATTCACATCATATTCTGCTAAATCTTGAGTGTTAAACAAAATACTTAAAAGAGAATGAAGATTCTATTTTGCCTTGCATGATTAGACATTTTTAAGTATATATACTATGTTTCCTTTTGAGCCAAGACACTATGTTTTGTATTGTGTTTTGCATTTTATGAAACAGAATATCTAAGTACTAGATATTGATTGATTGATTGATTCAAAGATGTTTGACATAGATTGCCAAGGGTTTTGAATTACCTCTAAACAATTTTAAGTTTTCAAATGTTTGTGAGTAATAGATTGATGAAAGTAGTGATTTTGGAAGATTTAACTAGAAGTGAGGAATTGGAAAGTAAAGATTAGTGATAATCCAAGCGTGATACATTAAACATTCAGACAGAATCAGTTGGGTCAAAGTAATAGAAAAGTGGCAGTAGAGAATAGGAAATGCCCGTTGGCTTTGTGATGGATTGTAAGGTAGAGGTGCCGAAGTTGAAGCTTAGGTCATTAGAAGAATGGTTGTAATATTGATAGATGCATAGAGTGCTGGAAAGATAAATTTGTTTGCATGGAGAATATTGACATTTATGTGTACAGTTTTGATTTTAGAGTGTTAGGACATTCAAATGGGATATCAAGTCAAAATGTAGTCAACCAGTAGTTACATCATAAGATGTGAAAATATAGACCTGGCTGGGATGGGATCTTTCATGTAAAAGAGCTGTTGAATTTAACGATACACATCTTCTAAAGGAGAGAAATATAAAAAGAGAATAGAACTTCATGGACAAATAATGTCATGTATTTTTCTTATAATTAACATACAATTTACCATTTTGGTGACCTCTTTAATTTTCATAAACTTAGATATATAACTTATGTTGATTTTATTTGAAGTTCATATATCCTCAGTTGAACTTAAATGGTCTATATTTGTATTACTACAAATACTCAAATATGTGTTTACTGTGAATTTGGACATTAAAATAACTAAATCTTTACTATACATCCTATCAGTTTTAATGTTGTTGCCTTTTGTATAAAAACACACAGTAAACAAGAAATCTTGTCGTTCTTCCTTCAAATATGTACATATATATGTATATATTTTTTCCTTTAAAATATATTCAGGATCAGATCACTTCTTACCACCTGCTCCAGGATAAGATCACTTCTTACCACCTGCTGTCAAACTGCTTTACGTCATCAGCATCTTTTGTCTGGATTACTGTAGTAAACTTTCCCTGGTCTCCTTGCTTCTATGCTTGCTTCGTTATAGTCTGTTCTTGACATAGTTCATGTCACTCTTCTTACAGTCTTGCTTTTATGACTCACCATGTAATTCAGAATAACATCTAAGTCTTCACCAGCACATTGACCCTCTTACATTTCCTTGAACATGTTTCTATCTTAAGGCCTTCATGCTGGCCATTATTCCATCTCTCTTATATGTGCTTCCCCCAGAATCCATGTGACTAACTGCCTTGCCTTGTTCACAACTGTGCTCAGATGCCAAAGATGTCTCTGTGGTGTTTATCCTGACCTTCTTCCTATTTAAATTGCAACCTGCTCCCCATTGTCAATACTTCTGACTCCCTTACTTTTTTCTGCTTTTCCTTTTCTTACAGCACTTTGCACTTATAGTATACAGTTCATCACACACACACACACACACACCACACACACACACACACACACACACACACACAGCCCCATGAGACTAGAGATCATTGCTTTGTTCACTATTTTATCTCACCTGCCTAGGAATGTAACTTGCCATGTATTAGACACTCAATAAATATTTGTAGAATAAATAAACTAACATACAACAACAGTAGCTAACACTGAAGGCTTATGTCACACTTTTCTAAAAACTTTAACTTATTATAACTACCTTAATGAAGTAGAGATCCTTCCATCCCCATTTCACATGCCAGGAAACTGCGCCATATGTTGCCTAAATAAAAAGCTCAATTCTACACAGAATTCAAGCCTCGCAGCCTGGTATGGAGCCAGAGATCCAAATCATTTGTGTATGAGATTTCTGTTAAACATGAGTATTGTGTTTAGTGCTATAAAGGTTTGTGTTTGTTTTTGTAGAGACAAGCTCTTACTCTTGCCCAAGCTAGAATGCAGTGGCATGGTCACAGCTAACTATAACATCAAACTCCTGGGCTTAAGTGATCCTCCTGCCTCAGCATGTTGAGTAGCTGGGACTAGAGGCACTTGCCACCACACTCAAGTAATTATTTTTTGTAGAGACAGTGAGTGTCTCAAAGTGTTGCCCAGGCTGAGTGCCAAAAAGTATTTATAGTAGAAGCAGAAGTGATATATCATTGTTAAATATAGTGTATATATATATACACACACACACACACACACACACACACACACAGAGAGAACATTTCTCATATACCTTGATTCACACTGATAGTTTACCGATTAAATATAAAGATGAATTTTGTTCATCTGTAGCCTTCAAATAGCAAGCTTAAAGAAATATAAAATTACCTCAAAATTTAAGTCTCATTGGGCAGCCTCAACCAGTAACACTCATTATTAGTTAAACCCAGTCTGAAGGCCTGCAAAGCAAAGCCATGGTACTGTCAACCATGTTATATAGGCCTAATGTCTGAATCCTTACCAGTGCCATTTTTATTTCTTAGACACGTTTCATTTATCATACTGTTGTGCTATATTTCACATCAGATGTCAAGATAAAGTCTCTGATGTCAAAGATTTAGAAGCAGTGACTTTCCAGATTTGCTCATCAGAATGCAGTGGTCCTGGACATACAGAGCAAATGGATGACATTAGATTTCTAAAGCTGCTGGCATTAGGTGAACTTTAGGGGAAATGTCATTCTTGAGACCATATAAGAGAAGTTTCAAGAATGTAAATTAAAGCTATCTGAAGTACTGGACATTTTAGCATGATATAATGGCACTAAGAGATTTTGCTTATATTGCGATTGAGGCAGTGACCACAAATAAATACAAATCCAGATAATGATCGAAGGGCAATATAACAAATATGTTAAAAGGTTCCTTATTAAAGAGTAATTCCCTGGCCACCCAGGGTTCTTGTCATCCATGTTCATGTGCTGACAGAATTATGAAAGCATTTTCATGTGAATACTGAAGAGTATTATGGACATTCGTATTCATAGGTACATCAAAAAAAGAAAATGTAAGAGATAGACTATGCTTCGAAGAAGACAATGATTCTTACCTATTTTTTGTTTAAACACATGTTATAGACTTTGCTTGATAATAACATCTTTTTTTATCTCCTAATCACCCCATAAGTAAGAAAAAATGATCTGTACTTAGAAAATGAATTACAGAGTGGTTACATAGCTTTCCTGGGGAAATCATTCAATTTATTAGCAAATCTGGATTAGGGCACAGAGAACCTGTTCCTAATTCATTTCTTAGACAATCACAAGTGCAAAATATTTGGTGATATGAAATGAGTAACTTCATCCTTAATGCAGAATTATGTAAATTTTAAGCCATAAAAGTTTTTTTTGTTTTGCATTTTGGATTTACATTTATAATAATGATATGAGAATATTAATGTTCCTTGATCAAGTTGCTTTTTTTCCCCCAGGATAAAAATTAAAATGGACACACACACAGAGATTATACTTTTCATATATACGTGATGTGACAGCTACAAAAGTAATTACAGCATAGATTTATGTATTTTCTGTATTCACATTAAAAGCTATTCAGTTGAATTTTAAAATGCTGAAGGATGTAATACTTTTTCATTTTGAACTTTTAATTGCATTTAGTTAAACACAAGAAAATTCTATGAAAGTAATTATACATTTCAGTTTTTCTTTGTTACTGAACAAAATGAAATCTGTAAGTCTAGAAATATGTTATCAATAAAACACAAATTACTAAAATTACTTAAGCAGTTCAGTCACAGGACAGACTTTTTAAAGTTTATGTTTAGAAGAAACTTCATCTAGGTTATATTTTTGTTGTCTCAACATTTATTTGGAAAATATAGTAGAATGAGAAGCTCTCTAATTGGTATAGTATTTTTGTATATATATACAAATATATAGTATAGTATACTACTATCCTAATAGTATAGTATTATATTTTTGTTGTCTCAACATTTATTTGGAAAATATAGTAGAATGAGAAGCTCTCCTTTTAACAGTTTTGATCACAAAGTATAAAGTGTTTGCTGAAACACAATTGATTCCCATTAGCTGTCTCACTAGTGTCTGGGGCTTAGGGTTGTTTTACGTTATCCTAGGATCCTGGGAGTTTTCCATACCTGCAGTCTATGTTTTTGTTGGCTGACTTTCTACGGAGGGGCAGCTATCGTGAATTATTTCAGCATAGTCTGCTTAGGGTTTCCTTAGTATTGATGGGTTTTGTTTCTTTCTTTTTTTTTTTTTTCCTTTACCTACAACACCTAGACTACCAGTCTTATTGACAGGGTAATAAAGGTAAAGCTCATCAGGAGAGCTATTTCTCCATTTTACTATCAGGACAGATAACTTTTTATGAAGAAGGGACTGAATAAGACCAAGCATGGGGTCACAGTTAACCAAAAATCTGTGGACTGAATCTAGTCTCTGGTTAGGAGCTGCTAGCCCACCATTTGGTTCTTCCATCTCCAAAAGGCTCAGTTTCTCTCTTCCTATAATATTTACCATGCCTCTTATAGTATTCTAGAGACTCTCTGAGAATACTAGACAGGATGACTGCAATTTGAATTTTTAGAACTATGTCGTTTGTTATGTGGTGTTGTTTACCTGCCTGATTCACTTCATGTATACAGAATCTTCTGTTGCTTGGGTGCAACTTGCCACAGCTCTCTATATGACTTCTGTCTGTAGAGCTCTGGACTCCCACTGTTCCAATGGAAAATTTTTGTTAAAAAACAAACAAATCATCTTACACTGGTAAGATATTTTATCTGAATGTGTAGCAGTTCATTTGTTATTAAAAAAACTGTTTAAATAAAAAAAAACCCTTCTTACTTGTGAGAAGTTTTCCCTGAATATATAGCCTTTCTGAAAGCTTTCACAATATTACACATTGCTCCTTCCCATACAGCCTCCCACAAAATGTAGTTATTTAGTGTTATTTAGTCATAGCTTATAGCTCATTAGTAGTACAAATTTCTCGTCCTACCACAGACCTATTGTGTAGGAGTTTCCATATATAGAGCCTGAAAATCTGTTTTTTAAACAAATATCTCTGGTCAGTTTCATGCACACACTATTTTGAAATTCTTTTGAGAACCACTGACTTAGGTTAAGTATCAACCTTTTTGATCCTCAAATAGGAAAATAAAATTCTAAGATGACTTTTTGGAGTATGCCTGGGCCAGGTAAGAATTTCATACTCCACAACAGATCGTGCAGTAAGTTCAGCAGAGACATTGCTAAACGATGTCCTGCAACTTCCAGTGAAAAGAGAATGGTGGCTTATTGCTGACACCTCACAGAGACAAAATTCTTTGAGTGGCAAGTAATCAAGATTTGTCACTGTTTTCATAAAGAACTGTTTTATTTCTCTGTTGTAATCATTTTTTAGTTGAAGCCAAATATTTAATGAAGTGCTTAGGAATTTCAAGCACAAGATATGTGCAGCCTCTGGGGAAATCCAACAAGTGGCATTTTTTGTCACCTGGATGTAGATAATACCTCTTTATATCTCTTCTTTCAGGCAAATCCAGAAAGACTTGGCCTGAGAATTTTATCATCTATATCACATCTGCCATTTGGTGTAGAGCCTAGTAAGAACTAATGCTGCCTCAAAGAAGGCCCCAAGGATAGGACTACAAACATGTAACTAGTAGGAAACAGAGGAATCTTTTATTAAAATGTTAGAGTGGGATTTAAGCTTATTTTGTGCAATGACAGTGATGACCCAAGATACTTCCTATCTTAAGAGTTCAAAAGTATCCTTTCCTGGACATTAGTATCCTAAAAAAGAAACTGAAAAGAAAATAATTCTTAGTATTTTAGCACACAAAGGAGACTCAGGACTAGTATCATGACTACATTCCCACTAGCTGATAGGTTTTGAAGTGCTATCTTATTCACTTAGAATTACTGAGAGGTATGAACTGAATTCTTTCCCTCTAAAAGTCAGATGTTGAAGCCTTAACCCCGCAGTGTGACTGTTTGGACGTGGGTCTTTAGCAGGCAATTAACTGTAAATAAGCTCATGAGAGAAGGTCCCTAATCTGATTGGATTGGTGGCCTTATAAGTAGAGGAAAGTATAGAGACGCCTACCTATCTCTGTCTGCTCACAAAGAAGAGGTCATGTGAGCACACAGTGAGAAGCTGGCTGTCTTCTGCCCAAGGGGATCCCTCACCAGACACCAATCCCATTGGCACCTTCATCTTGGACTTTGAACCTCTTGAACTGTGAGAAAATAATTTCTGTTGTTTAAGCCATCCAGTCTATGGTATTTTGTTAGGGCAACCAAGCAGACTAAGACACGCAGTAAAAATAAACTGAATCTGTCATGCACAGAAAAGCAGATCTGTCATTTTATATAGACATTGATCAGGAAAACTAGGGCTCTTCTACTGGAAAATCTTAAATAGTTAAGATGAATTTCAGAGATAGGTTCGTTTAAAAACAGCAAGGCAACCCTTTGACTTCTTAGAAGTGTTGTCAAGGAAAATACAAGATTTTTTCCCTCTGTTTCGTTTTTAGGTTGACAGTAAATTATCATGTTTTCTTCCTTCTTTTTGCTTTGGCAATAATTTTTGTATTCATAAAGAGTACTGAATCAGATGCTAAACAGTTGAGAGATTATCACTTAAAAGATTTTCTTAGATTTTGCATGTCCATTGCCCTTGTTCTGGCAGGTAGTGAATAAAGGACTGAAACAGGCTGAAAGGATTTACACTAGTACTTTTTCATGATGTTTTCAAGGAGGGTGAAAGAAAATAGATGGGAAAAGTTTGCATGTCATTTCATACTGATTTGCATAAAACTGCATGACAAAATTGGACTGAAAGAATTCATATAGTTAGTGAGAGATAATCACCCATGTTTCCTCTAGCTGCGGACAAGCTCTTGGTTTATTTTGCAATCATGTATTTTAAAATGCAAGAAGAAGGGACCAAAAAGAGTTTTTGTGGATTTGACCCAAACTGAGACAAATCATCATTTGGGTATCATCCAACACTGTCAAATCTTAGTTTCATTTGTCATTTACTTAATGTTATAAATGGTTCTTTTTAAAATAAGTTATAATTTTAAAAATGATCAAAATTCCAAAATTTCATGGGATTGATGGAAGCATTTTTAATTTTTTTTAGTAAGGATTATATGCCAAAGCAGAGACGCCAGCACTGCTTTATCAGTGAATAAAAGAGAAATAATTAATTTTAACCCTGTGTATTATTGTCTTCAAAATAGCTATTTTCTGGCATATATGTATTACTGAACAACTTTTTGCACTCTGCTTATATTATAATTTACTTTTGATCCCAAGCCCATTTAACTAAAGCAGTCATTGTTAGGGTTAATCAAACACGTTTGTTAGTATCTTTTGCTCTCAAGGCTGATAATATCAGGTTGGGTATATAAGGGACTTGCATAAATTTACAAAAACAAATTACTCACTGGCAAGAGAATTTAACTCAGATATAGTTTGCTATTACTGAATTAACAGTGGGCATCAACCAGTGGAGATTAATTTTACCATCTGTGAGTCATATGACCTAAGACATTAAAATTTGGAATCTCGTTTGAATCTTAGATGACTGATGATGATGATGATGATGATGACGGTAGATTACATTTATTGGCTTCCTGCTGTGTTTCAGGCATTAGGCCATTTTACATGTATTATCAATTCACTTCTCACATTTTATTATTTTGATCAAAGAGCTTAACAATTTGAAGTTTAGAGTAATTTGCTAAAGGTCTTACTCATGAAACCCAGGACAGAGAATTGACTTCAGGGAATATGACTAAAATCGATTTTATAAAGTACTGCACTACATTGTTTCCTTCATGCTGTCAGTTTCCAATTTGCAGATTAGGAAACTGAGGCCCAAATTACTGAACTGATTAAGTAACAACTACTTCATTAAATTGAATGGCTATTATTAACACTGGAAACTGACTTCTAAGTTTAGTTTGCTTTTTGTTACCCTAGCTCTCTTTTCAAGTAACCTTTTGGTCCACCATAGCCATTCTTATTTTCGGAACATTACGTGTTTAAAAGGACTCCTCAAGGAGTATTTACCACTAGCACAATTTAAAAATGTTGAAAAACCAGAACGTACTGACTGGTGTCATCTTCCCAAGAATTCAGTAATAACTTAAGTAAAATCAGGTTTATTTCACATACTGATATATAGTATATTTAGCTTAATTTCCATTTTACTTTTATTCATTCTTGATATTGCCATATAAGAGGTATAGAAACACTAATATTAAACAAAATATATAATTTTTTATTTTCAAGTATGTTACTTGAAATTAAGAACATAGTATCATTCATATATATTGTTTTTTCATATTATGCTATGCTATTTGTCTTCTGCATAAAATTGGGCTTTAAGTAAGTCATGAGTCATGGTAATGAATTTTGTTATAACCTTATTTTTATGAACCTTTTTTTATTGAATCACTTTTTATTTTATGTTGGTTCATATGCTCTATGAAATATTCAATGGGGCCAGGTGCGGTGGCTCACGCCTGTAATCCCAGCACTTTGGGAGGCCAAACTGGCCGGATCACTTGAGGTCAGGAGTTTGAGACCAGCCTGGCCAACGTGGTGAAACCCTATCTCTACTAAAAATACAAAAATTAGCCAGGCATGGTGGTGCACACCTGTAATCCCAGCTACTCTCGAGGCTGAGGCAGGATAATCGTTTGAACCCAGGAGGCGGAGGTTGCAGTGAGCCGAGATCATGCCACTGCAGTCCAGCCTGGGTGAAAAGCGTGAAACTTTGTCTCAAAAACAAAAGAAAAAGAAAAGAAATATTCAATGGATTAGACAACTAAAAAACATTTATATTAATGGTTTCTCAAAATATTTGTTCCTTTGGAAGAATTGATCGGTATCCATTATCAAAGCCTGCACACATTTTTTTCTTGACTATTCACCTGATCTGAAAATGCATTGCCCTTAGTTAAATATATATTTTAGAATAAATTATCCTGAGTTACTGATACGTCCCTCACTCATGAGAATTAGTAAAATATCAGAGAGGAAAATAAATAAATGAACATCATGCTTTAGCTTTCAGGGAATTCATTAGTCAATATTCCCTCTTTCAAAGGATTTTGAAAGTATATGCATCTGTTAGATACAAATTTTTAAGACCAGCTTAAAATCGCAGACCTAAGGTTAATTTTAGGTGAATTAAGTCATTGCTGCAGGGGCCCCATAAATGAAAGCTAACTATCTAAGGTCAATCCTTAAGACTTTTGCAATACTTACTCATTGGTATTCTTGTGCTTACTCTTATAGCTTTTGGTGTGTGCCAGTAATCTCTTTGTTGCACATTAGTAGACAAAATGTATTCTTGTAATTTGTGTAGCTGTAATTTGTGTAATTTGTAAGCTGCTTGAGAATATAGGTATTTTTTCCTATAACTGCTGGATTTCTGTTGCCTGAATTGGTGCCTGATACATACTAATTGATCAATTAAAAATTTGCAAACAAATTCAAGCTAAGTAAATCCTGAAGGCTCGTAGGGTATCTGGTTTTGATGTGATTTTGAAGACACACACAAAAAAAGAAGTACAAAAGTCAAATGTTAGTATACCTTCCTGAATATTATATTTTAAAACTATCAGTTCAGCACACTAAGTTCACTTGTGAAAAGGAAATGAATTTCTGAATGCTGTTTGTTTAGAAGATAGAAACAGCTTCTCGGCCTTTTGGCTAAGATCAAGTGAACAAGATACAAAGTTTGTTGAAGTGGAAACTATGAAATGATTTGTTTGATTACATTTGATCACTTACACTATTGTATATCATACTATCTTACTTGATTTTTAGTAAAGTATCTTGAGGAATATCCTCTTAATCCTATTTTAAAAATAATTGAGGTTAAGTAGTTTGTTCATAATAACACAGTTAGTAGATGGCAAATTCAGGACTGTCTCTAAAGCCTTTCCTCTCTCCTGCCTTATGTATACAAGAAATAAGCTACAAGTGTTATAGATCAGTTTCATGAAATAAGTCTCTAAGGACAAAGTGTGATTTATTTTAACCTGGCTGCATTTTTAAATTGAAAAGAAATACATAGGTTTCTTGTTATTGTGACTGGAAATACAAAATGCATTACATGATATGATGTTTTTCTCACACATCTGAGAAAGCATTGAAGGGTTCTGAGCAAAGTAATGATAGGATAGTTTTGACAGTATTCATCTGAATGACAGATCAACTCTAGGGTAGAGTCAGGGAGAATAAAGGAGGCTATTGCAATCATCTAGGCAAGAGATGATGAGTGGCTGGATCAGACAAATCTTTGGGCCTTATATTTTAGCCTCCTTTCCTAGTTCTTCCTGGTAGCGGTGAAAAGTGGTTGAATTTGGAATGGATTTTGAAAGTAGAGCCAACAGTATTTTCTGAATGATTGGATGTGTGGAGAGGGAGGGAGGGAGGGAGGGAGGAGAGAAGGAGGGAATAAAGGCAAGGAAAAGAGTGAAAGAAAAGTAAGGACAGAGACACAAAGGTGATTCCAGGATTTTTGCCTAAACAACTGGAAAAATTAAGTTACTCTCCTGAGTTAGGGGAGAATGGGACAGAAGCAGGTGCTGGGATAGAAAGGGATATCAGGAGTTTCGTTTTAGCTGTTATCAGACTTCCAGTATATCAGATTAGATACTAATGTGAGAATCAATATAGACATAATTAAAGCCATGAAACTGGATGACAACACCTGGGAAGGCTGAGTAGAGAGAAGAGGCCTAAGCCTGTTGAGCTCTGAGATACTCCAGAGTCTAGAAAGAAGGAAAGGAACAGCCTTCTCCTTCCGGAGGAGGAGGAGCCAATGAGGTAGACTCATCCTCAAGATTGGGGTCCTGGAAGTCAAGTGAAGAAAATATTAAAGAGAATGAGTGGTCAGATGAAGCAGATTTTTCAGGTAGATTAAGGCCAGGAACATTGAGATATGACCATAGGATTTGGTAATGGGGGAGTCCATTGATGACCTTGACAAAAGATTGATCAGAGAAGATACTGTTACTGAAAATAAACAGAAGAGATTATAAATCACTCACCTAGAAGACGTCTGAAGTTATTCTCTAAATTTGTGATCTTCAGAGAGGCAAACTATTTTGCAGTTGTTACGTAAATTTGGCCATATTATCCTGTACTGTTAAACTCAGATATGTTAGTCAGTGATGTAAATATTGATGTTAATTACTTTAACTGTCAACATTTAATTAAAGTTTTTACAAAGTTTTACTTGACGTTCCTCCTCTGTTTTGGTAAGTTGTTACTATGTGGTGGAAAGGGCATACATACCTATACAAACAGTCCTAGGTTTCAGTCCAAACTTCATCAGTTACTAGTTGTGCAATCTTGAACAAGTTAGGTAAATTTTTCTAAGTCTCAGTTTCCTCATTTGGAAGATGACAGGTAATAACTACTTTATGTGATTGTCAATCAACAGTGGACTGGATTAAAAAAATGTGGTACATATACACCATGGAATAGTACACAGCCATAGAAAATGAAATGATGTCCTTTGTAGCAACATGAATGCAGCAAGAGGGCATTATCCTAAGCAAATTAATGCAGTAACAGAAAACCAAGTACCACATCTTAACTTGTAAGTAGTAGCTAAACATTGAGTACACATGGACAGAGAGGGGAACAGTAGACCCTGGGGCTTACTTGAGGTTGGAGGGTGGGAGGAAAGTGAGGATTGAAAAACTACCTATCAGGTACTTTACTCACTACCTGGGAGACAAAATCATTTGTACATCAAATTCCGGCGACATGCAATTTCCCATGTAACAAATCTGCACATGTACCCCCTGAAAAAGTTTGAAGACGAGAAAAAAAAAAGATACCTTCAGAAAACTATCTGAAGCATGTGATACAATTATACATCATAAATGATGTAAAAGTTGAGGCATTGATTTATACTCCAAGGTGTTATTTTTTTTCTCCAGTTTTTTTATATAAATAGAAAATAGGACATTTATTTAAAACAACTGCACAGTCACTGATATTCGTAAGAGAGATTATCAGCAGAAATAATCATGGGAATCAATTTAGAAGCCAAATAATCTAGATGGAGATTTGTGTTGGATTTTCTATAATCAACTGTTATCAACTATATACTACTCAGTAGGGTGAAAACAATTTTAATAATTTTGTTTTGAAAAAATTTAAATGCTATAATGAATTATGTGCATTTATAAAGCTGACTCCGTATTTTAAAAACTTTGATAATGTGGAAAGGAGTGATTAGACATTTGGTCATTTCTAACTTATTTTAAAGGATGAAAAATCATAAA
Organism: Homo sapiens; assembly: GCF_000001405.40. Lineage (NCBI taxonomy): Eukaryota > Metazoa > Chordata > Mammalia > Primates > Hominidae > Homo > Homo sapiens. The sequence goes on from NC_000008.11 coordinate 15,730,335, forward strand.
AATGTTTTGCTATATTTTGTACTTTTGCAATACCTCTACAGGAATCATATTTTATGTGTGTATGTTTGTGATAAATCCTTTAACAAGTTATATTAAGTTTGCTTTTGATACTTAGTTGCCACCTAGAGTTTACAATAGTATCATCAACCAACATTGTCATCTATTTGCATTTAACTAATAATCATTTAAAATAATTGGAACTTAGTAGAAAGTAATAAAAAATTAGTAAAAATCGAATTAGATTTTTCCATTGTTTATCTTCATGACTTAAAACTACAAAATAATTATGAGGCTTTCTCAGACTGTAATTTCTGTTTGTCTTCTTTTATAGAGCTACATTCATGGGAGCAGCCAGGCTCAGTTTGTGGCAGAATCACACATTATTCTGGTACTGAGTATCCTTTTAAGATACCGACGAATTGAAAAGGGCAAACTAAAGCTACATGTTTTTAAATTGACATTTTTCCTGGCAGTAAATATCAAGACTTTTAAGAGACATTAAATTTTAGGCTGTACTATATGACTAATTTTTATTTTTTATGCTAATTATTTCCTATTACGGTATAATTTGTTGCTATTCCGTATCATTAACAGATCATAATTTTTTTTTACTGAGTGTTGAATTTCAGAGTATTACTTTTACTCTACATTGATGATCTCTGGCTAGATTTTTTCAAGTGTATATGGCTTTTCCGTATAGCATCCTAATGGCAAGAAAAAAGTGCCTTATGATATAAATAGCAGCTTAAAAAAGGTATTTTCGTACTGCTCCCCTTAAATATATGGTATGTCAGAAGAAGGAGATTTAGAGTGGTTCAACATGCCTTTTTGGAACATATCAGAGTGAGTCAGACTAAGTGTTGTGAATCAGATCATACAATGTAATTTATGATTTGGAGTTAGAAGGATGAAGAATGTAACAGGATAAAAAATAGTAGCAGGGTAAGAAAAAGGTAAGGTTAAGCATCTAATGTGAATATTCTTAGAATGAAATAAAATTAGTTTGGACACTGTTTTGGGGGAACATTGATTCTCATTATGAGAATGTAACGTGTGCCTCTAGTATCCTTTATAAAATTTGATTACTAATATCCTGGTTACTAAGATTCATATTCAAATGTGTAGTCTAGACCAAATTGTCCAGTACTGTATATAACCAAAGGTGTAAATCTTTAACTATCTTTGAATTCATCTAGGCCAAACCTCATTTTATATGTAGGAACACTAGAGCCCACAAAGGGCTTATGTTAGGGAAGCCCACTTGAGCTAGAATTAGAATTCAGTTGTCTTTTTCATGGTCTATCCTGTGTTCAAGTACTTCAGTTTTATGTACAATACTTTATTATGGTGTGTGACATATCATTTCACCAATGAATGTTAGTCATGCCTATTATTTTTAATCTGGAGGAAAAATACTATCTTTTTAACAACATTGAAGTTTTTGGATTTTATTACTTTGTTGTGTCATAACAATGCATTTTTAAAAATCTACTGGCAAAGACTTATTTGACCCCTTCAGTTTATTCAAGCAACCTATTTTATTTGCTTACTGTGTTTTAGGCACTGCATCAAGTGGTGGTATATAGTGATTACGGTATGGTGGGGAAAAGGGATGGAAAATGTTTGAAGCACTTGGAATTCTCAAGAAACTCAAAGACTTCCTCGTTTGTAAAATCAGGATTAGCAATACTGACCACACGGGATTTCTGTGTGAAGAAATGAGATAGCACACATTAAGCATCCAATAATCACAAAAGGCTAGTTGGTGTATTCCTCTGTTTTCCCTTCTTTCTTACTCTGAACTTTGGTGGCCACAGATAATAAGCATAAATACGTATATATGGGTTGATTCCTTAGTGATATGGTTTGGCTCTGTGTCCCTACCTAAATCTCACCTTGAATTGTAATAATCCCCACTTGTCATGGGAGGGATCCAGTGGGAGGTAATTGAATTTTGGGGGTGGGTTTTTCCCATGATGTTCTCATGATAATGAGTAAGTCTCATGAGATCTGATGGTATTATAAAGGGGCATTCCCCTGCACATGCTGTCTCTTTCCTGCTTCCATCTAAGATGTGCCTTTCACCATGATTGTGAGGCTTCCACAGCCATATGGAACTGTGAGTCCGTTAAACCTTTGTTTCTTTATAAATTACCCAAGCTCATGTATATCTTTATTAGCAGCGTGAGAACAAATACACCTAGCTTTTGACAAAGGTGTAGATGACCAGGAAAAAAAAAATCATCTTCTAATAAAATTTATCAAAATTCTAAAACTTGAAATGTAAACATTGAAATGACTTAATTTTTCTAGAGCAACATTTTTGAACCCGTTAAATTGTATAACTTATAAGGTAATACAAAGGCATTGTTTTTCAAGCTTTAATGAAAACGAAGGAATGAAGTTGAGAAGAACAAGATTACAAATCGCGTTTATATTGCAGGAGAACGAAAAGATACCTTTCTGAAACTCATTGAACACCACTGACCATCTTCTTCCTGTGTCTGTCTCCATTCTCAACATTTTTATTTCTCCCACCCTTGATGATGCATGCTTGGATACATACGTGAAATTGGGCACATCTGCAGCCCATTTCTTGCTTACATTTACTTACTTGCCTGTATGCTTTATGGTTTCAAAATTAAGAAACTACTGTGAGGAGTACTTGTTTGGCTCTAGTTTGTCTCATAGACTGGAACTGGAAATACAAATTTTGTTGTATTTTTCAACAAATGCTCAGTTTCTGCACACCTGCTTTAATATGGTAAGAGATTAATGCTTTCTGCACATCAGAGGTGCCTTCGGTGAGAAAAGGAAGTCTTTGTGTATATGTTTATAGACATATCTACTCCTCTCTATTAAAAAATAAGGGCAAAGCTGTATTTACTCTCGACTTACTATTTAAAGATATTCAGGAAGCAAAACATGTTAACATTAAAGCAAATGGATAGAAACATAAAGCATTTGTTGCAGGTAAGTTTTTAACTCATTTATTTAAATATTATAGCTTCTTTTTGTTTTTTTTTTTTTCCTAACTTGTTTCAATCCATGATGTAGCATCTTAGCAGTATACTTTATCTGGATAAAGTGATGACTATCGAAACACATCAGGAATACCGAGCTGAAGGATGAAAAGCTGTGTTGAGATCATCCTTTTATTGTATGGCAGGAATTCTCCAAGGTTTAATTTCATGGATCATTGACATCAAGCTGAGATTTAGGATTCAAATAAATTTCACAAGCAGTGTGAATGTTTTCATATAGATCTTAGCAGTGATACATAAAAGAATTAAAAGTCTGTATTCTCTTTATGCTAATAGTCATTATTTGTTGCTTCATTTTTCCTGTGTTTTTTATTTTAGACATATCTATTACTAAGAAAGAGAAAAATTCTTTTAAAATGGTGGACTCATTATCAGTGAAACTTTAAAAGAAGTCCAGGCACAGTGGTTCATGCCTGCAATCCCAGCACTTTCACAGGCTGATCATTTTAGTTGAGGAGTTTGAGACCAGCCTGGGCAACAGTAGGGGGAATCCTGTCTCTACAAAAAATTACAAAATTAGCCAGATGTGATGGCATACACCTGTGGTTCTAGCTACTTGGGAGGCGGAGGCAGGAGGATCACTTGAGCCCGGGAGGTCAAGGCTGCAGTGAGCTGTGCTCACACACTACACTTGAATCTGGGCGATAGAGTGAGACCCCGTCTCCAAAAAAGAAGTTATTTTTCAATAATTTCTGATTCTAGTTTCATTTGACAGTCTACTGCTACTTTTTGAACAATCCATATTTTCTTTGTAATTTGTGTATTTTGTTTTCTTCTGGCAAAAAATTACAAATACCAGATGATTACTTTTCATTTATCTGTAGAGAGAACATTTCTATCTTTTGGATTTCTTGTCCCAATTTAGTAAGTCAGATTATCAGATGCAGTTGCTATATACAAAGTTTTGCTGAAAAAATCATAAGAGAAAACAGATGGAGCATTTTGTATCATAGGTTATAGATTTATATTTACTAAGAATAAAAATATCTCCATATCAGTAGTGTTTTATTTTTTCAGTATCTTATTTAAGAAAACAATCCTAAGTAGTCTTTGAGAGAAAACTATATGAAAAAATAAGAAACATTATATTTTAATATGGAATATAAACCATCTAAAAATAACTTACATAGGGCTTTATATTTTTGCAAGTAAAAATTCATTTTTATTTCATTTATTTTTCCTTTTGTTAATGCTTTCACCATCTAATGCAAATGTGAATGAGATACTTGCTGTTTACAGAAAGGTAGGATGACAGAAAAATACTTATAATACAGTGAGACAAATGTATGCGAAGGCAAAGGAAGTAGCAAGAGAGGAACTAACTCCCTGTCTAGAGAATTGGCACTGACTTTTCAGCTGGATATTGAAGTATAAAAAGTTTCAGAGACAGAGAAATGGGTAAGGAGGCTATATTGGTAGAAGATACAACAGGTACACAATCAAAATGACAGCAAATATTCTTTATTGCAGGAAGATAAATTCATCAAGGCTGGAATACAAATTTTGAGGAGATTGGTGAAAGTTAGGTTAGGCTGGATAATGAAGACCTTGCTGAGAAATTTGAATCTTAGCTACACGTAGTAGATGCAGTGCAATTAATATGCCAATTTTATATATTTGGCATTGGGTAACTTACGAATTCTTTTTGAAGTATTATGAGGTTGAGCCCCGCATGTCTTCTTGATAAATTTGGCTGTGGAAAGGGAAATAGTAGCGTCATGCCTGTTTAGGGAACAGAAAGCCAATGGAGGCTTGCTCCTGTAATAATATTAAGGATAGGGTAGAGAAGGTAGAGCAAAGGAAGCAGGAGTCGCTGGCAGTCGTTCTGGCTGCTGGCAATGGTTCATCCTCCAGCATGAACCTAAGTAAGGGAATGGAGAGTGACTCAGCTGCTGTTTTAGAGGAAGAAGAAACAAAATTGATAATAAATGTCACAAGTAAGGTTCAAGAACAGGAATCAGAGATGATTCTGAAGTTCAGCTATGTGTTGTAGGATAGAAATATGGAGGAGAACAAGGTTTGGAGGGCAATGTTTAGCCCAAAAAAGTTCCTAAGATTGATTAGGCCTCATAATTGGTTGATGAGAAAGGGATTAATTTGTTTAAATTGCTTAAGATCATAAAGCCAATCAGTTGAAGAGTCAAGAACTTAAAACTTTTAACCCATTGTTTTTCTACTTAGTAATATTTTGCCAATAAATCAAAACCTCTGTGGTGAATAGGCCAGTAATGTTCTCACCAAATTATATATTGTGTTTATTTGTTGTAAATATCTGAAAAGATCATCATAATAAAGATACAGTGGATATGTTGATTTATTTTTTATTTTTATTTTTTGAGACGGAGTCTCACTTCTTGGTCGCCCAGGCTGGAGTGCAGTGGCGTGATCTCCGCTCACTGCAAGCTCTGCCTTCCGGGTTCACGCCATTCTCCTGCCTCAGCCTCCCAAGTAGCTGGGACTACAGGTGCACGCTGCCACACCCGGCTAATGGGTTTTTTTTTTTTGTTTTTTTGGTTTTTTTTTGTATTTTTAGTAGAGACGGGGTTTCACTGTGTTAGCCAGGATGGTCTCGATCTCCTGACCTCGTGATCCGCCCACCTTGGCCTCCCAAAGTGCTGGGATTACAGGCATGAGCCACCACGCCCGGCGATATTTCTTTAGTTATTCTATCGTATTTTTGTACAGAAGACAATATCCTCTAGCAGTATAAAAACAAATGTGTGTGGGGATATGTAAACATAAATACACACATACACGCAGGTGCATGTGCTTTGTGCTGAGATACAAGAGTCACAAAACCTGACAAGATGTCTGATGGTGTGGCATTTACAGTCTAAAGGAAGAGGAAGACACACAACAAATGACAGTGCAAATAATTCTTCATTTACAATTATGTTCTTAAAAAGTTTTCAAATGTCCAAAATTCAGTAGACTCAGGCTTGAGGCACATGGATCTTAAGTGGAATATCATGAAGTGAAAATATGCAGTTTTTGAAACCATAATTGGAAGAATTAGTATGCATATGAAATATATAAAATTGTGTTTAAAACTCTTTATATAATTTCCCAGAGTAGAGAATTTGAACTGTGGTATCAAATGATAAAATTAAGGTAGGGTATGTTTTTGATTATAGAATGTTCTTAAAATTCAAAACCTCATGTATGATTTTAATGAGATAATCTTAAATCTGCTTTTCTTACTAAATACACTTATAAATATGGCACAATAAAACAGACATGTAATTACAAGTAGTGGTTTTCTAAAATAAAAAGGCATCTTCATTTCACATTTAGAGAAATGTTTGCAGATATGTATGATTTTACTGTCCTAACTAATCTGCCTTTTTTTCTATCAATCAGTAGTCAGTCCAGGAGGGGCAGAACTATGTCATTTAAAATTTTATTTAAAATTTCAACCAGATCAAATTAGTTTCCGTAGACAGTAATGTTCCCACTGAATTCACCAAGATATGGTCTCTCTGTATGAGTGGATATAGAACACGTGAGTTCTAGGATAAGCTTTAGTGTCAACTATATAATCTCTGACCTAAGTTAGAAGATCTCAAGAAAATGACATGAAATAAATATTAGTTAGAAGTAAAATTATTTATATAAAAGTAAAGGTTATACTAGCAATTTAAAATTTTTATTCTTATAAAGATAACATTGCATTTTCTGTGAGCAAAACATTTTTTCCATTTATTATGAAAGAATATGATTTTATTCGCATCTGTTTCTAGTCTATTATAGAGAGCAAACATTCCTTTTAATGTGTTATATCCAAGGAGAAACATACTATAGAAAAAAATTAATGATAGATGCAGTTGAAAATTTTAGATTTAGAATTCTTTAAGTAAGTCTTCTATAATGTGCTAACATTTTTTTCAACGTCTATTTACATTTATCTATCTTTAAATTGAAAACATCTTGATTCCATTCCTAGTAGCAACAGTAAACTTAGCATATGCAATTGAGAAGGGATTATAATGTTTTGTAAATATATTCGTTACTAATTCTGTAGAATGCTCAGTGCCTCTGGGTATTGTATGTAATTTACACAAATAGCAGCTTTTTTATGTGGGATCATGTCAGTATTTTGACTAAGCAGTAGGAAAATGATCAACAGGATCAGCAAAGAAACTGGAGTGTGCACAGTAGTTTAAATATATATTGCCATGATATTAATCAATAAAAATGTGCAAAGTAATACAAAAACTAGGCCAAAGTATGTGTGTATAGGATAAAGGGTAGAGGTCCATCTGTTATTTTCTTTTAATGCTGGGATATTCCAATAAGGCAAAGCTAGACGGCTACACCCATCAATTTAATGACCAAAAAAGAACGTAACATTCTTTTTGGTCAGACGTAGAATCTTTTCAGATTTGGAGGGTCTTTCATTAATCATTCAGCCTTCCACTCAGTGAAAGAAATGCCACGTAAGAACAGTGAGAGATGATCATCTAGCTTCTTCCTGCATATAAAAATTAAGATTTTTATGTTACAAATGTAATTTTCCCCAAATGGTAAGTATTATTCAGTCTCTTTTTCAGCCAAAAATGTTTCAGTTAATACAATGAAATTTAAGCTAAACGATTCTCAACTCAACTCCTAAAGGCCTTGAGTTAAAAAATGTATCTTTAAATAATAGGGAGGGTTAGCGAGCTTAAAGCCATTTTAGTATAATTCATATGTCTTAATTACACCCATCAGGTTTTTAAACGGCTCACTGCTCTTTTCTTGTTAAAGCTTAGAAAACTCACTTTTGCAAGAAACATTCTGAGAAAGAGATCATACTTACTTACTGACCCCGCTGATTTCTAACAAAACATTTTATCTTGAGGTTGTATATAACCTATGTCTAGTAATCCCTTTGCTTTAAAATTCCCACTTTAAGGTTGTGTGCACAAATGTTTACTAAATTCTTGCATTTTAAAAAATTGTCAAGTAAGAATAAAGCTAAATTCCAGTGAGACATAATGGTATACAGTTTTTTTGACATCACCTTAAAATCTTTACAGCAGGGTTTGGCAAACTAGGACCAGTTCAGGCCCAATCCAACCTGCCTGCTATTTTTGTAAATAAAGTTTTATTGGAACACAGAAACACCCATTCATTTACGTATTGCCTGTGACTACTTTTGCACTACAACAAGTTGAGTAATAGCAACAGACTCCATATGACTTGCATAGCTGGAAAATACGTGTGACTCTTTCCTGAAAAAGTATGGCAATTTCTGCTCTATAGGCTGTGGTCAATAAAGAACACAAAAATCCACACTTTTATTAACTCACCCGTGAACAGTTACTGTTTTTATCTTTCATTCCCTGCAATCATTTCTTTGCATTTGTTTTAAAGGAGTCAGGTTTTATATATACTTTTATACATATTATACAAACATATACATCTTTTCACTTGGTATGGTGACAAAATTACTATTAATATATCTTGCTTTTTTTTTTTTTTTTTTTTTTTGAGAGGGAGTCTCACTCTGTTGCCCAGGCTGGAGTGCAGTGGTGCAATCTCGGCTCACTGCAACCTCTGCCTCCCAAGTTCAAGCAACTCCTCTGCCTCAGCCTCCTGAGCAGCTGGCACCACAGGCACGCGCCACCATGCCTGGCTAATTTTTGTATTCTTAATAGAGACGGGATTTCACCATATTGGCCAGGCTGGTCTTGAACTCCTGACCTTGTGATCCGCCTGCCTCAGCTTCCCAAAATGCTGGGATTACAGGCGTGAGCCACTGCGCCTGGCCTCTTGCTTTGTTATTAAGAATTTTTGTCAATTTCATTTTATATGGCTAGTTAACCTGTCACAAAAATATCTCATATGTTATAGTTGGACATTTACATTTTAATTTTTCACTATATAAATTATTCTAAAATAGATTTTTGTATGTATATTAAGTTTTTTCAGTATTTTATGTTTTGCCTTATTTATTTGGGAATAGCTTTATAGGAGTGTAGTTCATGAGCATACTTCTGGCACATATAATTAATGATAATTGATGATTTGCTGAGGTTTTTGACATGCTGAAATCTTAAAATTTTCATGTTGACTTGGGGTTTCTGTTCCATTTCTGCCCTGTTAATAGGGAGTCTGCATATTTTTTTAACTCATATAATTTGAAAAATGCTATATTGTTACTGCATTTGCTCCCAACAAAAATAGTAAATTATAAAAATGATTTAAAGCAGCGTGAAACATAAGTGATATAAAGGTAAATTCATAGACATCTTTAAAATGGCAATTTTGTGAGTTATTGCAAACTTATTTGTAAAATCTGGAATATGTTTATGGAGTAGTAAAATGTATTTGAATGCTCTGTGCTTTATGAAGAAGATTTTTATTCTTAGCCTAAAGATATTTCATGCTGAAACTGGGCTAGCAATTATGTTCTTTGCCCAATGCTTGTTATCATTTTCATCTAATCCTGATATCATCTTACTTCATTACTTTTGTGCTTTTTTGCTTTGCATCTTTCACTCTTTAGTTTTGTGACTTTGAGCAAGTTGTTTAAACTTCTCTGGGCTTCAGTTTCCTTGTTTGTAAACAGATGGTAATGTCTACATCAGAGAGTTATTGGTACTGGGTAAGATAGTGAATAAAACAAAGTTCTTGCCCTTTTGGAGCTAAAATTGTAGTGCTGGAACAAAGACAATAAGTACATTGTAAAACGTATACAATCTGAAATTTCTTTCAAAAACAATTTTATAATAAAAAAAAATCAGAGTAAAGGTGAGAGGAGGCTTCTCTGACAAGATTGAATTTGAACAGAGACCCAGTGGAAGTGAGGGAGTAAATTACATGGCCATCCCAGGGAAAAGTACCTCAGGCAGTGGGAATAACAAGTTCAAAGATCTCCTTATTACCTGACTTGCTTTGAAGGTATTAGGAGAAAAGGCTAGAAACCTAGAAGGAGGATTTAATTTCTAAAGCAGGAAACAACCACCAAAACTCATAAAGGAAAAGATGCATAAATTTGGCCACATTAAAATTAAAGTTTTCTACATGACAGAATAATTTAAAATACAAATATAAAGGAGAATCTGAACGCAATACTTCAGTCAATTCGTATCTGGAAAAAAAAATGTTGTCCTCCAAGTTAAGAAAAAGCAACTGTGCTTTTGGAAAAACGGGAGGAAAAAAAAAGAACAAGCAGTGTGCCAAAGATTAAACCCAAAAAAGAGGAATGAACATATCAAAAGATGCTCAGAACCAAGTGGTGAGCTATTCGTACAACTCTTTTCCTTATCAGTTTGATAAAATCAATAATTGGGTAGTATTGTGTTAGTGAAATGTAAGAAAACTTGAACTAACATTGCTCATTTTAGAGAGCAGTATGATTGTACGTAGCGAATTTGAAAATACACTTACCAAACCTCTCAAAAATTCCACTTATGGTTATAGACCGTGGAGAAAATATTGCACATGTACACTAGGAGACCTGTGAAAATATATTCTTTGCAGGAATGTTTATAGTAGCAAGCATTTGGAAACAAATGCCATCAGTAAGATAAAGCAATAAAATATGGTATACTCTTACGAAAATGTACGTAATTTTCTGTTACCACATTGTTTGAATTTAAGCAATTCAAATGAGAAACATGTTACTCATAGTTTTCAACATTGTAACAATACAGAGGGAGAGTAGTAAAAATGATATGAAGATACATTTATAGGGATATGTTATACTTGGGTGACCATAATTAATGCCCTGTAAAATATACTTTTCCCTGAGTTCATGGCTTTGTGTGTGTATAAACCGATAACATGTTTGTGTACATGTGCATTTATATGTGTATAAAATTTGACCCTAAGAACATACTAATATATTGCTTTACTCCCATTAAAACTGTCATACATTTTATTTTGTAGGCTTTATTTTCCCCAGTAATAGAAATACTGCCATTTCCCCCATGATTCATTAATCGAATTGAGGAAGCTGCTTATTAGATGAATCATAAAATGAATGTATGTTTTACTTTTAATGTCTACATAAATTCATCTTAAATGCCATTTATGTTTTGAATATTTAAAAATGTCATAGTAGCTGGGCGCGGTGGCTCACAACTGTAATCCCAGCACTTTGGGAGACCGAGGCAGGCAGACCACTTGAGGCCAGCATGGCGAAACCCCAACTCTACTAAAATACTAAAGTTGTCCGGGCATGGCGGTGCACTCCTGTGATCTTCCAGCCACTCGAGACACTGAGGCATGAGAACCGCTTGAACCTGGGAGGCAGAGGTTGCAGTGAATCAAGATCGTGCCACTGCACTGCAGCCTGGGCTACAAAGTGAAACTGTGTCTCTAAAAATTAAAAAAAAAAAATTAAAAAGTCATAGTAAAATAATCTGCAATTCTATTTGAATTATTAGTTTAAATATGTGTATTTAAATGTGTAGATAAAAATTTATACATGCATATAAAAGATATTGCAGAAAAAATGATTAAAGGGGAAACTTAGTAACTCCTTGTTAAGGATCCATATCAGTCACATCTATCTGCTCTAGAAAACTGAGTTTTAAGCAGTAGAAATCTCCTACATATGAACAGTTTTAGTGAAACAAGTTTTTAATTTTTATCATGTTGTTATTAACAATGTCCCATGTCTGTGGATTCGGGGTAATGTATACAAGTAGATGGTCCAAAACACTTTAAGAATAATGGATTTAATTTAAAGTCTACAGACTACCATACTGATGATACAAAACAGTCATTCTCTTAGAATATTCTTTTCAGGCTACTGCCTACATGATTGAAAGGCAGGAATTTCATAGAAATTTCAGTGTTTTTCAAGCTGTGTAGCATGGATCTCTAAAAGTTTAGTGCTAGTCTATGGTATGTGTATGGTGGGAGGGGCTTTTCTCTTGTATATGTTAGGCTCCCAAACATAGGTTTTTCTTTATTTTCCTTTTTTCTAGAAAGGGTTCCAAAGCTAAAACAAATACAATAGTTTGAAAAACCGTTTGTATAGAGAGGTCATGGAAGCATAAATGCCTTACTAGAGAAGTCAGGCATTTATCCTTATCCAGAAGTTGGATAATATGGTCATGAAGACAGATTCAAATATGAACATTATAATTTATTACTAATTAGAATTTCAATAATATGGTTATAAAAACAAGACTCAGAGAGGAAATGTTCTGTGCAGAATTTTCTCTGACCTCCTCCACTTGCTGGTATATTGCCCAATACTGTCCTTTGAGCTTTTGTTGATAGAGACATCCTGCACAGGAGATTCATTGATGCTGTTTATACACAAATAGCAGTAGAAAGAAACACAAGGGAATCATAATGAAATTAAGCAAATTGAGGAGGTTCTGGGCTAGAATTGCTTCATTTTTCTCTTCAATTTTTAGTCCATTAATCGCTTGGGCGAAATACATATTTTCAGAATTGATGAGTTCTAAAATCTTAAGAGTCGACAATGTGAAAAATGTTGTAATGACATGGCAAAGAATGTTTTTATGAAGATGAAAATTTCCCATTTTCTTAATTCTGGCATTATTCAACATAGCATGAATATATCCATCCTGTTGCAAGCAGGTGTTAAAAACAAGTAATTTTGTGATCTCATTCTTAAGGTATCAGTTAGCTGACTAGCTCAGGGTCCTGCTAGATTCATTAAATTGTTTTATTATAATATGCTTGTCTGCTTTTGTAAGATTGTTAATTGTATAACCCCAGATTTTCAAGTGACATGATACCGGACCTTCATAAAGATTTCAACTAAACAAAATCTATGAAAAAATGCTTTTAGAAGAAAAAGCTGTGTACACACACGTTATGAAAATGAAATGTGTCAATGACATGTGTCATGTCTATAAGCAGTGCATATCTTTATGTATAATGTGAAATGTGGTAACTGGTTTTGAGAGTCCATATAGTTTATATGTGCTGTGAAAATCCTGGAATTTAAGAACCTTTGGAATTAGCCTCTCAATATATCACAAATTGAAGTTTCAGGTTATAAATTTTTAAAGTTAAGGCATATTTGCTCACAAAGAATGGTAATTTTATGTTATATAAAGGTAATTGATTGTATTTACCTCTGTGTGCATTTGTAGTTTAACCATTCTGGAACATTGTGTTCAGAGCCAGAAAAATTAATAGATTTTATTCACATCTATGTCTACGGCTTCCTTGACAACTACTGCAGATGCCGCTATCACCATGGGGATGGTTCTTCTAAATGAAGCAGCAACTTCGAAAGGCGATGTTGGAAAAAGACGGAGTAAGTCTCTGTGTTGCCATTTTTGTAATTTCGTTTTAGTCTTAAGATTCATTTAAGTCAAATGGGAAATACATAAAAGCCCTTTGTAAACAAACTTCTAAAGAAATGTTCTGGTTTGAAGAAGATTTTAACTTTTTTCTATTGCTGGGATGTGTTCATATACTTGAAAATATATTTCTTCCAAAGGGGACTGGGTCGTTTTCTGTTGATTTGCTTATAAAGTGGAGCTGTCCTTCACCCTTGTCAGGGTGCTCTAATCCATCCCTGCTGAAGCCATAGTCTTGGTTGTAATTCCACCCGGCACAGAGAGATGGAAAATTTTGAGGGCAGAGTCTTCAGAGATTTTATTGGCATGTAACATATTCCCTCTGCTACAAGAATCAGGGGTGCGCTCAAAGCGTGACTTAGATGAAGCTTCTGCATAGGTATTGTACAGTGAGATACTCTTATTACCTTTCTATTCGTTCCAAAGCTTCCTTTAACATTTTTTAAAAGGCATCTATTGATACTATCTTTTCCAGGGTCTTTGCCTTTTCCATTGATATACCAAGATTTACAACTCCCTCAAGTTCTCCGGCATTATGTTTTTAAGCAAGTTAATTCTGTGGCTTTTCTTTGATGGGACCATTTCTCTCAGAGTTGTAGAAAAACATATATGAGGTTTTTGAGAAGTAAAGAGTTTTCTAGCAAAAAGAGAAGAACACACAGGGAAAATGTGCTCTGAGGAGCAAAGGACAGTCGATTGTTTCCTGCCACAGACCTTTTTATAGTTAATATCAAGTCCCTATATGATTTGATATGTCCACAGACCTGTTATTTTTTTCTTTCTTTGCATTTCTGAACTCTCTTTAAAACCCAAAATTTATGTATGAGCAGTATAGGTATCTGAAAAAGAGTATTTATTAAGATATTTAAAATAAAAATCCAGACTTCATGGGTTTTTAGCTAGGGTGACATGTGTGTAAACAAATCATAGTGCTTTCTAAATACTTAAAAGTCTTAGGGGTAGAAATGTTTTTGATGTAATACACAGTTTAGACTGCCCTCTTTTCCTATGGTATCATCTATTGTATTAAAGAAACTACAAAAGAAAGGAGATTACTTTATCATGTTGAATTTTATTTATTTATCTTTTGAATAAACACCATGTCCTTAGGATTGACAAATTATGCCTATGAGGACATACTATTTTTTTAATAATTTATTTTAGATTTGGGGGTTTATGTATAAGTTTGTCCCATGGGTATTTTGGATGATACTGAGGTTTAGGTAAGGATCTCATCACCCAATAATGAGCTTAGTACCAAACAGGTGATTTTTCAACCTACACGCTCCTCACTCCATCCCCACTCTAGTCGTGTCTGTTCTCATCTTTATGTTCATATGTACACAATGTTTAGCTCCCACTTACAAGTGAGAACATGAGGTATTTGGTTTTCTGTTTCTGTGTTAATTCACTTAGGATAATGGCCTCCAGCTGAATTCCTATTGATGTAAAGGAGATGATTTTGTTCTTTTTGGCTGCATAGTATTCCATGGTGCATACATACCACATTTTCTTTATCTAGTCCGTCATTGATGTGGTATATATGTACCATGGAATCAACCTGGGTTGATTTCATTTTTTTGCTGATGTGCATAGGGCTGTAGTAAACATAAGAGTGCATGGGTCTTTTTGGTGGAGTGATTTATTTTTCTTTGGGTGTATACCCAGTAAGGGGGTTGCTGGGCCAAAGGTAGCACTGTGTTAAGTTTTTTGAGAAATCTCGAAACTGTTTTCCACAGTAGCTGCTCTAATTTACATTCCCGACAACAGTGCATAAGCATTCCCTTTTCCCCACGACCTCACCGGTATGTGCTTTTTGACTCTAATCATAGCCATTCTGACTGGAGTGAGATGGTATCTCATTGTGGTTTTGATTTGCATTTCTCTGCTGAGTAATGATAATGAACATTTTTTCATATGTTTACTGGCCACTTGTCTGTCTTTTAAGAAATACCTGTTCATATCCTTTTTCTACTTTTTAATGGGGTTGTTTTTTGCTTGTGGATTTAAGTTCCGTGTAGATTCTGGATACTAGATGTTTGTCAGATGCATAGCTAGCAAAAATTTTCTCCCATTCTGTAGGTTGTCTGTTTACTCTGTCTTGTTGTTTTGCGGTGCAGAGGCTCATTAATCAGTCCCACTTGCCAGTTTTTATTTGCAATTGCCTTTGGAGACTTAGTAAAAAAAATTCTTTGCCAAGGCCAATGTTGAGACAGGCATTTCCTAGGTTTTCTTCTAGGATTTTTAAAGTTTTAGGTGTTACATTTACTTTTCATCTATATGGTGAAGGGTAGGGGCCAAGTTTCATTCTTGTGCATATGGCTAGCCAGTTATCCCAGCAACATTTATTGGATAGAGAGTCCTCTCCCCATTGCTTGTTTTTGTCAACTTTGTTGAAGATCAGATGGTTGAGAGTGTGCAGCTTTATTTCTGCGATTTCTATTCTGTTCCATTGGTCTGTGTGGAGGAGATACTGTTAATTATGTGTTTATTGTATATCCTGTCTTAAGGTAAATAAGAAATTTGTAGTAAATTTTTAAATCTTACAATATTTATTGTAGCAATATGATACTCAATTTATTAAATCACCGTTTTCAACTCCTCTCTTGGTAGATGTTTGTTTCTCTAACTCCAGCTCCCAGCCACCCCCAAATTAATTATTCATGTTGTGTATGTGCTTGTGTGTGTATGAAAGTGAGCTGGAAAACATATTTTAAAACTTTCAAATTATTCCTTTTTGATGTGATTTTTATTTTTGATGTGGCACAACTACTATGATTAATATTTCCCAGGTCAGAATGCATCTGCCTCATTATGGCATTTTATTTTCACAGGTGTAGTATCTCATGTGGCTGCCGTGGTTCCTTTAATAATTATTAACCCCTCCCTGCACTGAGTTCCTCTGCCTTCCCATATACAAGTACTTGAGTAGCATTATTTTGTTCCACTGCATAGGATCAAGTAATTATCTTCTGTCTTACTTGATCACACATTTCAAGCCTCATTTCTGATAGAGCACAACCCAATGGGGCTACTAAAAAGGAGCAAAGGGAATGAAAAGAGTGCTTTATTCTTCTGAAAAATAAAAAAGGAGATGGAAGGAAAAGAAAAGAAAGACGTGTTAGATAAAATGACAGATTTGGGAAGTATAGAGTAAATAATTTTGTAATTAATTATAGGTTTTTATAAACAAAGTTGTTACTATGCTGTATCTGGGTCCTGGTATGTGTCATACAGGGATATTCTATAATTTTCAAAAATGTTTTTTTTATTTTATGATACTCACAGACTCATTTTTTGCTTTATTTTCTCCCAATATTCATTTGAAGTTCAGCTGCATGAGTGTTGTCTGAAATGAAATGTCAGAGGCTACACTTGGATGCTATTAAATGTTTGTGTTGTTTCACAATTCATATTCAAAACTTAGAAGATATTCCTGTAGAGTTGCATAAAAATTGACACATTTGCAGACCATATTTTGACAAAGCCGTACCTTATGTACTCCATGATTGCCAGAATTGCAGTTAAACTTGGTTTGGTTTATATATTGGAAAAAATTTTAAAAATCATAGTTCCTTATTATAGAATCATATAGATCTGTTTGATTTTCCTTATTTTCTTCTGCTTTAATCTTTCTCTATTTTACAAATAACTTCAAATATTTTTCAAATTGTTTAGAATTCTCTGAAGTGAATAAAAGGTGTATTGTGCAAATTATGTGTTCTTAAAAGATGTTTAGATATTTCTTAAGAGATTAACACTAATTTCTACTTATATATTTAAATAAATTTTATTTAAATATCTTTGTCTTTTATTCTAAACGTACTTTAATTGGCTCAGATTAAGTATTTAAATTTTATAAGCATGTTTAGATTGTACTAACTGCAGTGAATCTTGTTTAAATATCCAAAATACTATATGCAAAAGAAACATATTTTATTATGCATCTGCTTTAGAGTAAAATCTTCTCAATCATACTAAAAAGGAAATGAGAAAATAAAGTACTGCTCGTATTTTCAGCTTTCCTGGGACAGAGGAATATTGAAAACCTAGACCGCAGCACATTCGACTATAACATATGTCCTCAGTTTCTTTGTAAGACAAACAGTAACAATATTTTGACACTACTACCTGCCATGGAGGGAGTTTTCTCCCCTCTGGTTTTCACTTAGACCATATTTTCTCTCTCCAAGCTTTTATTCCTTGCTTTCTATAACATGCTCTTACTGAGGCAATACTAACCAAAAACCTAAAATTATTGCATAGCATCGGAAAAGATCAAAATTATATTAAGCATTCTAACAATGCAAATGTTCCTGCTAATATAGCCAATGCTTCATAACGCAAGAGGCAATAATCTTGTTTGTGGTTTATAACATGTTTTGTTTTGATCACTCTGGGGCATGTTAGTACTTGTAAGAACTCTATAAAAGAAGAAAACCTCCAGAAGACTTAGATCAGTCAATTTTGTTGTTTTCATACCACAAATAGTACATTTTCATTGAGAAGACACAAATAGTACATTTTCATTGAGAAGAATGTGGAAAATAATGAACACATTGGATACCTGTATCCAAATACCTGTTTGTTGTACCTGTATGTACCATGAACTGTTAAATGTAAGTATACTGTAATTGAATGCATTTAAAAATATAAACAATTGGGGTTTCATTTGCATATTTTTAGACACTAATGGTATTTTCTGTCTGTTTCTAGTAATTTGCCTAGTGGGATTGGGCCTGGTGGTCTTCTTCTTCAGTTTTCTACTTTCAATATTTCGTTCCAAGTACCACGGCTATCCTTATAGGTAATATCTTTATACTAACATGAATGTTTTTATTTTTAACTAATAGAACAGAGTTTCAGTGGTTAATATATAATTAAGGATGAATGTAAAGTTGCTGTGTGGTTTTTTTAAATTCAGTTAAGCAAGTTTTTGAGCACCTGCCATGTGTTCAGCATAGTGAAGTACACAAAGGAGATATAAGGCATGGTTCTTGTTCCCTGACAGCATGTAGTTTCTTTCTAGACATACATATTTTTATATAACAAATGAGGTTTAAGCTCATTTTGAGGACTTGAAAATTTTTATCTTCCCTTAGTTTGTCGTGATTTCGACTTCATTTGCAAGATTGTTTTCTCATATAATTCACTGTTCATTGTCTAATAAACTTTGTATTATCTTTTGAATTCTACAAAATTTTAACTTTTCAAAATAAGAGCCAACATGAAAGGGAAAAGTTAAGTAATAAAATAATTTCTGGTCATTATAAATCATCATAACGAGTATCTCATAAGATTTTCACCAACAAATATATTGAAAATTCAAAGGCCGCATTATTATTACCAAACTATAGTTTCAGTAAAGCACACTACAGAAGAGGTGCCCGATTACAGTTGTTCAGCTTATGAATTAGGCATATATTCATTCTTGAGCTTTTTCCTCCTTCAAGTTTTCTTAAATAACTTAACATTTTTTTCTTTCTCTAAGGAGTCCTTCTTTTAGGTTAGCTCATTTCTAATGAGTAAAAGCTCAGTATTTCCTTTTTCAGAGATTTTGAAGACTCTGGTTAGGTAGTAGAACCAGTGATATGTTGATAGAAAATAAAAGCTCCTCAAAGCCTACATTTCTTCCACCTGTGAGCAGTGGACATTTTTAGAACGTTTCCACACAGATCATAGCAGCAATATATAGCTTTATCAGGGAAAAAACTAATCCCATAAAAGGGAGATCTGACTTTGGGATTATAATACAAGAATAAGACCCTTCAGCCCCACCCCCTCTATTTTCATATGTGGCCAGAGGTACATTTCCAATTCTCTTCTTCCCACACCCATTAAAAATAAATATACCAAGGGAATGGAAGAAATGTGGGTATCAGATTTTCTGACACCCTGCCTGCAGTGTAAATTTTTAAAAATATCTGTTCTGAGGGCAGCAAGGGTTATGAGAGAGGCAAGCAGAGTCTTCAGGTTTTTCATTTTACTCTTGACTTTAGAGAGCCAGCCAATTTTGGTTTTGATGATGTGAAATAATCAAATCCAAGATTAAGTAATATCCAAGAAAGATGAAGTTTTTTTTTTTTTTCTTTTGCCCTGCTCTAGGATTGAGAATCATGTTTTTGTATGATTGGTACTTAGTTTGGCCTGTGTTCTATAATGGAAACTGTAAATTAAGAAAAATAGAAATCCTCTGTATTTTATCTAGGATGCCAAAAACACTTGAAAATTAATCCATTTTCATCTATAGCACTTATAGTTTCAAAGGAAATGTTGTATCTCTTTTTATGAAAAGATAAACTATACAGTAAGTGATACTGTGAGATTTTTTTTTTTTTTGAAACGGAGTCTTGCTCTGTTGCCCAGGCTGGAGTGCAGTGGCTTGATCTCGGCTCACTGCAAGCTCCGCCTCCCAGGTTCACTCCATTCTCCTGCCTCAGCCTCCCGAGTAGCTGGGACTACGGGTGCCCGCCACCATGCCTGGCTAATTTTTTGTATTTTTAGTAGACGCAGAGTTTCACTGTGTT
The DNA here is from genome assembly GCF_000001405.40 of Homo sapiens. Taxonomy (NCBI): domain Eukaryota; kingdom Metazoa; phylum Chordata; class Mammalia; order Primates; family Hominidae; genus Homo; species Homo sapiens. Next base: position 15,750,186 of record NC_000008.11, read on the forward strand.
AGCCAGGATGGTCTCGATCTCCTGACCTCATGGTCCACCCACCTCGGCCTCCCAAAGTGCTGGGATTACAGGCGTGAGCCACCACGCCCAGCTGAGATTCTTAAGCCCTATTTAGTTGACAGGAAGTAGGGAAGGGTAAAGGGCAAATTCTAACTTTCCTTGTATATCAGAGCATGTAATGATACTAAAATATCATTCCCTATCTAGATTATTATCTGACAGCAATATAATGACTAGGAAAAGTGGAGAAAAAAATATTTTACTAGTTTTTTATAATGTTGCACTTGACAGCCCTATTTTTGTTACGATAGGAAGAGTTTAAGTTTGTACTTCTTTTAGTTTGTACTTTTTTTTTCAAGTAGTAGTTGTCATTTAGTATAATAACTCTCTACTGCTCTGGGGTTATGTTGTTGTTGTTTTTAACGGAGGCTGGACATAGAAACTACCCAGAAAGCTTTGGAAAATACATATCCTTGGCCTCACCATAGATATAAATAGTAAGCACATCTGAACCAGCATACATGCCACTTACGTTATTTCTGTGTGAATGTGGCATTTGAACAGTCTTCTTATGTAACCAGCCCCACACTCCTGTCAGCTCCCCACCAGCCTAACAGGAGATAGATTTGCCTTCAGCAGGCCTCATAATGCTAGAAATATAGATGAAACTCTTGTAAGAAGTCAGAGATGGAAATTATTTTTTAGAGTGGTTTGTGAATATGAAATTTGACATAGTTTAGATGAAAACCCTAAGGAGGAGCTGCCAAGAAACAGAATCAGAAGAGAGCCTATCAAAGAAGCTTGGGACACCAGGTGTGCTAAACAGTGTGACCTGCTGTGTAGAGAAATGGCAGGCAGGCCTCTGGCTGCTATAACAGCTCTTCACAGTGCTCCATCATCTCCTGTGCTATTGTGTGGGTTTACGAGATTGACTTAGGCAAGCTAAATAGAGTTTGGGTTGCTCTGTTAGGCAACTTTAGATTCAACTAGCCAAAAGGCAATCAGGGTATTTTAGGTAATGGGAGGTTTATTGGAGAGAGATATGGAGAAGCAAGGAAGACAATTAAAAAAAAACCTAATTGCCACATAGCTAGGTGTCTCAGATGTTGGAAAAAGTTCAGAAAGTAGGTCATTCAACAACAGAAATCCATTGCTTCAGAGGTAACTCAAATGGCTAATCTCTTGCTCCAATCCTTCCACTATTATTACTGAGTAATGTCTTTATACTGTTCTCTTCAGCTGATTAGAGCCTTCTATGTCCCTTTGGCTCCCACCTATATATACTACCGGTTCTCACTCTCTCAACATGATTTTGTGAATTTTCTAGGAGGAAGTGATTGGCTAAGTTTTTCATCCCCCAGTATAGGGGCGTCTGATTTAAGTAGAACTTTGAAGCCAGTCTACCCTTTGGACTCCTTGGAGGTGTTCAAAGAGCTCACTGAATGTAAATTAATTGTCTGTTTCTTAGGCACATCCAAAAGAAGCCAAATACAATGACAAGTACCTATAAAAGTTAACACCACCAAATATGTGACCAGAGTAGTATTTAATTCAGTTCATGTATTTGGGAAAAAGGTGTGCAGGATAGATCTTTGATCCTAAGAGATCGTTCTCAAAACTCTGTGGCTTCTTATTCCTACACCATGCACAGCTGAGTCAGAATCTCCAAGTGTGGGTTTTAAGAATCAGGTGAATAGTTACCCAGGTAAATCTGATATAACCATTTTATGAGCCTGTCTTAGGGAACTAAGTGATAAAGGATTTCACAATTGCCTCTCAGTTTTAAATTTGAGTTGTTAAATGCTTTATAGACATGCCGTGGTGCTTACTGTGAAATCTTCTGTTTGGAGAAAATACATACATCCATGAACCGGGGAATAACAATATAAAGTGTCACAAGCTAAGTGGCTGGCAGATCTGTTGTATGGAAATAATTTACAGGTGAGAAAGATCACTGTGGGTCTGAGAAAGGAAGACTCCAGAAGAAGGCTTGAATTAGGCTAAAATTCAACACAGCATTTAGACAAAGGAGAGAGGAGGGGCTGAGGGTATTTCATGAGCCGAAAGTCATAATTTGTGTACAAAGGAATGGGAAGAGAAATATGTTCATGGTATATTCTGAGGATTATGAGTATACTGCTATGGTGTGACAGCCTTAATATGTACTACTCAATAGTGAACGTTTCTGGTTTAAAATACATTAATTAGACAGAAAGAAATATATGAAAAGGAAGATATATACACAAAAGGAAATATTCTTAACCAATTTGGGTGAATTTTATGACAGTTCTCTAATTCAAATTCTAGATGTTTGCAAAACTAATAATTATTTTTCCAGATGAGTTTTTGGGATTTTTTCCAGAACATCATAGTGTTCTGGTATTTTAGTACTGCAAAGGATCATGGAGATCATATCACTGAAATTCATTTTATAGATGAGACCAAGAGAGTATCTTTATTTTATGACAGAAGCAGAAAATCTGACTCTGCTTACTTGTCTCTCCTGTGCCATGTTTTGTGTAGAAAAACGTGATTCGTATATTCCTATAAGTAGAAAATTATCCCAGAATCAAAGTTGAAAATAACATGAGGTCAAATGTATAATGACCTCAATAATCTGATAGCCAAAGCCTCTAAGAAAAATGTTGACAATTAGATAAATGTTCAGCACCAAGATAATAACTTACTTTGGCCTCTTCAATTCTTGTGAGCTCCAGAAGTTCAAGAGATGACGATTTTACTCAAGGAAAAACTTCCTTATTCTTGAACTTGGTACAAATATATGCAATGAAACAAAAGGAAATCTACATAAAAACTAAGGGACACTGACAAAATCTACTTATTAAACAAATTTAAGTAATTTTTATATCTTATTCTTTACTAATGAAAGCTGCTATAGTTTACATAGATGTGATTCCCTTTTTATGTTTTTTCTAATCCTATAATGTTCTCTTCATGTATCCTCAGATCATTTCTGAGATTTGTTCTTTCTTATCTGAATTTCATGACTTAGTTATCCAGCTATTCTACTGTCCAATTTAAAAAATCCCTCTAATTATATCTTCCCAGATCACATTAAAGCCTTCTAATATGTCCGTTCAGCTCTTTTGAGAACTGTCATTTAATCGTTTTCCTACATTCTATGGATATACTGTAAATTGTTCAGCAAGCTTTCATAAATCCTTATGGTGCTCACAGATAACCCTTCTTGTGATCATTCATACGTGAATTATTTTGCTCTCTCAGGTTTATATAGTATAACTGTTCCCTTCATGACATTTACAGTATCCTCCTAAACCAACAAAATACAGTGGACATGGGAGCATTATGAACAAAAAACCAGTTTTCCATTTAAAAAGTTTTAATCCCTTTTGTTAGTCTAGCACATGTATATGTGCTAAAGTTAACTTAGTAATAATATATTTTACTTGGAGTCATCTTTTTATTCCATTGCATTAGTTTCCTTCTTAAATAAGCTTTCGTTTTCTTCTCAGTTATTTTATCAACTCTCTTGTGAATGATGATGATAACTGCCTGACAAACATCGAAAACAAATGTGACTAAAAGACTGCAGAGATATATAGCAGAGATTTGGACACACCCTGAGCCAAATTACAAAAACCTGACAGTACAGGGAAAGCAAATATATATCTATTCAATTAGTTAACTAAAGAAAGAGCAAATGTGATGGCAAAAGCAAGTGTCAAAGAGGGAACAAATAGAGGGAACAAATGAAGGAGAAGAAGAAATAATTCTGATAGTAGTTGAAAGGTGAGATACTGATAAAGAAGAGAAAGACCTTTTCCCATCGAATTATCCTGTGGTGAACATAGCACCACGTTGTTAAAGAATATTTTGGTATTCCTGGAAGCATTTACCTGTGGCACCAGCATTATATGACATGTTTTAAAAACTACTCACATCAGATAAAGGCAGTCTGTAGAAAACGAGAGAATGAAATGCAGGAAAGAATTATTCTAGAAAGAGGAAAACGCACAACACATACTCCCGAAGGTATTTCCTGGCCTTTAGTACTTCTGCAAAGACATTTGTAGATGTCCATTTTCTAAGAACATTAGGCTGTACAATAGTAAATCATAAACTCTAGGGACCAAGAGCTGAACCACTCCAACCATCCAAGACAGAAATAAATACATTGAAGTAGGCTGACAAGAGGAGAAAAATAGTTTCTCAACCAAGACTCTATCCTTGACTTCCCCAATTTTAACATGAATACATGTTGCAGAGATCAACTGCTAGTACAGACACACATTCTTCTTCACAGTAGCTCTTGGAAAGCTTCCTACTTCTACTTTGGATCATACCTGTACTTGGGATAAGACACTTAAGTTACCCTTTAGTGAAAATGCACATTTGAACATAACACCTTCTACTTTTTTTCCTTTTCTTAAGAAAAGCACCTTTAGTAATGGCCTTTAGGCTCCAATGCCAAAGTACTTGCTTGGGTGTTATGCCTCCGCCTTTTAGCCCTCAGTGTCTTCGTTTTGCATTTTTGTGAATTATAAACTGTTGTACCACTGATATACAGGACTGTATCCATAATTATCTTTATGTACAGAACCGTGATCATAATTGTCTTTAAACTAATTTTTTTTACATTTTTTCCTCACAATTTTGAATTTTATTTAAAATACAGTCCTTAAGTTCTTCTATCTGAAGTGATCCTGTTCGGCTTATTCATTTTTATTTTAATCTTAAGCCTTACAAAACCTTAAACATCTATGCCCTTCATCATATTTTTTCAGTACTTCATAGTACTTTCAAAATTGTTGTTTTCTTTGCTGACACAGGTACCTGCTAAAGGATAAAAATCTACTTTAAATATTTATCCTATAGTCTTAAATCTTCCCCTAAAGTTTACCCTTAACAGTTTACGTATGAATCTGTCTCATGCCATTACTAAATTCTCTCAGATTGTCTTTTAAATTTAATAGGCAAACTTCCCTGATTGGAATACCCAGCCTGCTCGTTACTAGCTGTGTGACCTTGGGCAAGTTACTTAACTTTTGTCAAGCTAAGTTCTCATTTATAAATGGAGATGATTTGTCATATGTCGTTCAACTATTAGAAAGATTACATGAGAGAATGCTTGGAAATCACTTAGCACATTGCCTGGTACATAGTACTGATTACTCAATAAATGTTTGATGCTAATTATCATTAATTCTGATATAAATATTTAAATTCATTTTTATTTAATCTTCTGCTAAAAAGTTTTTCTTTACGCTAAAGATTAAGTAGTTTTGTCTCATAGTTGCATGATTCAGTTGAATGAAGAAAAGATTTTCCCTGAACCTTTTGATGAGCTTAGTTGGGCTCCTGGGTCTCTTGAAATTGTCAGTGAAATAGTAGGGTTACTATGAATTTGATCTAATTACCATCTGAGCCAGCAATTATAAACAACAGTTTATAATTCACAAAAATGCAAAATGAAGACATTGAGGGCTAAAAGGCAGAGGCATAACACCCAAGCAACTACTTTGGCACTGGAGCCTAAAGGCCATTACTAAAGGTGATTTTCTTAAAAAAAGAAAAAAAAAAGTAGAAGGTGTTATGTTCAGAAAGGAAGAAATATGATTTCAGTAGTAGCAATGAATTCATTTTATATATTACATGAACTTTAGTGCTTGCCCCATTTTCTAAGAAGAGCAAAGTGCTAGCAAGGACATCATATTCTTCACATATGGGTAACTACCTTATCAATATTTTTCACTGGCACTCTGTGCTCACAAAAGTTTCCTTTAGAAGATGTCTGTAGTAACATCTAAGATACATCAAGTCTCTGCTTTTGAGACATGAGACATTTCTAGTAATTCTGTCACTTTGCTTCCTAACTGTTCATTAGACTCTGTCTTAGGGAGGTCGTATGATATAATGGAAAAATAACAGTAATTAGGAGAAGACCCGAGCTCAAGGTTGGGGTTTAATTCTGTGTATTAGCTAGAGCTCTAGCTCTGCATTTAGACAAATCCAGGTTTGAATTTTGGTTCCTCTTAACTAACTTTGGGGCTTAAAGTTAGTTACTTAACTTCCAAGTCTCATTTTTCTGCAGCTCTAGTTACCTCTCTCTCTATATTTAACTTGGTTAAGCCTGTTTCTTAATCTGTAAACTTGGTATGATAAAACCTACCTCAGAATTTTATGGGGATAAATTATATAATCAGTTCGTAGTCCCTGAAATGTAGTAGGTTCTCAATAAAAAGTACTCACTTTCACTTACCTCCTCTTCAGCTATACTAGCCATTTCAGCAACTGATTATTCAGTAGTACTTTGTCGCATTATGTTTTTCATTAAGTATTCATTTACAGTTGTTTCATGTGTTTGTCTTTTTTTTCTAGATTATAAGGTATTTGTGTCTTTGATAAAAACCTTTTATATATCTCCAAAGTGCTAAGCACATAGTAGGTGCTCATCATATACTTGTTAGTTGAATCTGTTTACTTGAAAATTTTATTCCTTGTCTACTTCCATTAAATGCAACTGGAACCATTAAAATACAAATACAGTGAGGCTTATTGGCTTGCCACAGCTCCAGAAGATGCAGTCCATACCAAATGACACCCCCTGGAGTTGTCAGGTTGTTCTTCATAGTTGAAGGTGTGTGGAAAAATAGTTAGTTATTCCCCAAACTCGAGCTCTAAAGCTAACTATCATGGCTGGGCGTGGTACCTCAGGCCTCACGCCTAGCACATTGGGAGGCTGAGGCAGGAGAATTTCCTGAGGCCAAGAATTTGAGACCAGTCTGAGCAAGATGGTGTCTCTACAAAAAATTTAAAAAATTAGCCTGGCATGGTGGCACACGCCTGTAGTCCCAGCTACTGGGGAAGCTGAGGTGGAAATATCACTCGAGCCCAGGAGTTTGAGGCTGCAAGTGAGCTATGATTGTGCCACTGCACTCCAGCCTGTGCCACAGACTGAGAATCTGTCTCTAAAAAAACTCGTTCTTAAAAAAGAGGTATCGCAGTTCCAATTCTAAGCTGGGTGATAACAAGTGAAAAACAGAATATATAAATTAAGCTTACAGTGGACACAGAAAGTGGCTTCCATTGTCTTAAAACGAAACTGATAGTTTCTAATGTCGTTGGTTACCTTGAGATGAAAATGGAATGATATTCAGTAAGGAAATGTACAGAATAACAGCTAAAAATGAAAGGCATTCATACCAATTTTGAAAAAAGTATGATAGTGAACAAGTACAGCAAGGCAAAAATTCCAGCATGTAGAGGGTATAGCAATTTTGCATTGATTTGTACATCTTAACAACCTTAAGCTGTACAAATAGAACAATAATATCTAAATGGTGTGATGATCAGCCCACAGTACACATCATTGATGAGAATTTCACTGGTCTCAACCTTTCTCATGCTGAGTCCTGGCTTTGTAAAATGACTTATAAAGGTCCAAGGATTTAGAGATGATTAAGAGATAAGCTGGCATTCTGTAAAGGCACCATCGTCTATCCCCTGTCTTATCTAGATAAAGAATGTAGTGCTAAATCTTGTAATAATATTGTACAAATGGAAATTCAATCTTAAGGATTATTTTTTCCATATTGTTGTATTTCATTGTGGTGTATTGGAAAGTGATCTGGACTTTGAGTGAGAAGATGTGATTTGGACCATGGCACTTAAAAACTCTATAACCTCAGGCAAGTCTTTTAATCTTCTCTGAGCCTCAGTTTTCCTCATTTTTCAAATATAGAGAGTATAACATTTATCTCATAAGACAAGTTGTAGTAAATTACTGTTTTACAAATGTAAGATAACTTTTAACTGTGAGATTCCATATTCCAGTCTTACATTATTATGTTTATCTGCCACAGGGAGAAGTCCTCAGATAAAAATGTCTACCAAAAGACTGACACGTGGAGTTAATCATTTGACAGATGCAATGCTTCCACCCCCAACAAATATACTTTCTTAACTTCTGTTTGTTATCACTTAGGGAAAAAAGGCAGTCAACAAATATATTTCATTCTATCTAGGAAAAATGTAGCCAAATCTTTTTTCCCATTAACAAATAATGTAAGCCTTAATATTCAAGGGTAATAAAAAATACAAGTCTTCCAAACAGTTAACTTACTGAAAACTTTTTTAAAATCAACATTTGCTAAATTCAGAAACAGATAGTAGGTACTTTATTTATATATATATAAAATTACTGTCAATTTTATATATATATAATTTTACATAAAAATATAATTTTATATGTATGTAAAATTGACAGTAATTTTTTGCAGAAAATTCACAATCCAGTTTTTTGATTCCACACTGCACATCCCACCCCCTCAAGACCAGAGAACACAGGGTCTAGGCTAACACATCAAAAGCAGCTCTGGAGACTTAATTCCATTGTGGTAATACAGCCTTCTTACTCTGGCAGAAGCTCCATACCGTTCAGCAACCCACTGAACGTAGGGAAGGAATGGGAAGCTCCTGTGTTCCAAAAGAGTTCTGAACTGGCTCTTCATCTGTCCCTTAGCCCCTGCATTCTAGTTTTATTGTTCTTCTCCCCCCAGATTGACTATCCATGTTCTGGTCATTCCTCATTGTTAAATGTGGTTAACACTTTACATAGGCCTCTCTGTGGAGGCTGTGTAGAAAATTGGCCTGAGCACTAGGAGACTGGACTGCTGTTGCCCCATGAAATGACAGATCTAAAAAGCTTCCATTCCCAGAGATGTTTTCCTACTCTCAATAAAGGCCTAGATTTCTTTAGGCCTTTTTAGAAGACCACTTGTTTTAGACTCAAAGACTTTTCTGGGTTTAGCAATCTTCTATTACAGAGAAGAGAGCCCCAGGACTTTTGGCTAAAGAATTCTAGCTAAGGGCCACAATGTACTTCTCGCTAGCATTCTCATAGAACACATGTGAATGTAGAGTAGAGATTAAAAAGAATGACTCAGTGAGTTACACTACCCACAAGGTCAATGGGCCGGAATGAAAATTCAACCACTGGCCTATCTGTGCTTAGTGAACAACCCAGACCTTTTTTCCCGTTTGCACCTTTTTTGGATACCAAATGAAATCTGAGCAGCTGCCCCTTACCCACCCACATAAGTGATGTGAGACAGGTGACATTATGTAACCACTGGGTCTTCCTGACTTCCTCTCCAGTTTAAGAACAGGAAGAGCAGTGCACAAATATGTTCTGTCGAGCTGAGGATATCGGAACTTAACCGGCTTCCACTTGGACAGAATACATTTGTTCCAGAACACTGTGTACATTCTGGGTTTTCCAAATATGAGAAACAGATGGAGTCATTAATTCAAGATAAATAAAAAAAACAAAACAAACAGCAAGCCATTATTTGCTACCTGTTCAGATATTTCACAGGAAGGGAAAAGGAACAAACAAGCTTTTGATATACCCTCGGTCTCCAGTAACCACCAGTGACCAAATCCAAAGTTCTCTTCATGTGACCTTTCTAGCATTTTAGTTGACAAGCCCCTCTTGGAAACTTCATACCCTGGATTTTGTAACATGGCATTCTTACACCTTCCTTTTTTCTCTTAGATTATTTCTCAGTCCTGAATATACATTATCAAGTCCTGACCTTTCTCATGACATCCAGAACCAGACCTGAATACCACATTAACAGTTCACCTCACTACGTTAAAAAATCATTATCATCTGCCTCCAAATCTCTTTCTCCACCCCTTTTCCCCGACACTGTCATTGTCACAGTCACACAAGATGGAAATCTTGAAGTCATTTTGTCCTCATCCTCATCCTTCTTTATGTTATTTGGCCTACATTACTTTTCTGTTCCCACAGTTGCTGTCTTGAGTACCTTGTGTCTTTTTCTGACTATAACCGAGCCTCTTAAATTGTCTCCCGGTATCTAGTCATTATCCCCCATAATACATCACTTATTGTAGGGTAGTGTCAGAATTATTTTAAGATATGCGCTGATCATGTTGCTTCTTCATTAAAATTCATTAATAGCTAATAACAAAGAGGAAGGCAAAGTTAATACATGTTCCTTCTAGAAGATACAGGTAAGCAAAATGAAGAAAATATATTCATAAATCCCAACACCCAGGTCATCAAATGTCATCAGTTTAGCCTGTACATATTTTGAACCTTGGGAATTATGTAATACATATTTTGTAAGCTGCTTATTTTTCTTTTATACATCATGAGCATATTCCTATGCAGTTAACTACATTCTACAATATATATGATTTTACACCTATGTAGTAATATCAATGTATGAATTGCCACAACTATTTTAAGTTTTATGCCATCCAGCTTTTTATGGTGTATCTTTCAGTACACCCTGTGGTTTAATACAAGACTAAGTAACTGCTGTCTGTGTTAGTTTATCCTACAAACTAAGAATGGCTTCTACAGTTCTAAATCATTGGGGGGTGGGACGTCAACAAAGAATATTTTGTGACATGAAAATTATGAAATTCAGATATCAGTGCCTATGAATAAAGTTTCATTGAAACGCAGCCAGGTTTGTTTTATGTGTTGGCTGCTTTTGCACTACGACAGTTCAGCTGAGTGGTTTCAGCAAAGACCCATGGCCCACAAAGTTTAAAATACTTAACCTTCTGGCTCTTTACAGAAAATGTGCTAACTCCCGGTTTAGCCATGCTGAACACAGCACTGAATATGTTCCCATACTTTCATACCTTTCCTCATCCAGTTTCTTCGGTCGAGGCTGCTGTCCCTGCATCTTACTTGTTCTCAGAGTTTTGCTTTTTCAGTTCTTGTAACACCGTCATCATCTCAAATATGTCACTGTATCATACTTAATCACACCCAGGTCTTTCCTTTAGCTAAAAGAAATGTAAGGGCCATGACTTTCAGTCATTTCATTTTCTGCAACATGCTTCTATGCACAGAATCTAGTACACAATGGTTGTTAAATGCTGATTGAAACAGACTTTTGGGGGCCCTGAGATTAAGAAAATAGCTAACACTTGCGTGTTTCTCTAGAAAAATCTTTTGAATTTCAAGTAATAAACTTGCTAATAAACCTATGGAATATTAATCCTTAGCAAATCAAAGACAGCATTTTCATCTAAATTGTGGTTTTCTACCATGAGGGAGTGCTGAGGAGAGAGCCAGCCTTAAGGAGAGAAACGGTTTGAAGTTTCTTCTTTGTGTAAACAGTCTCTCTGCATCCCTGATGGACTTTAAGCAAAAATAAAGTGACACAGACTAGAAAGGAATGGTTGCTTCTCTTAGGCTAGGGGAAGTGGGAGCTTCTGGGGGCACATTTGTGCTAGTCCTAGCCTTCTATCTATCTTATCCCTTGTGTGCGATTTGCTACTCTTGCCAATTAGCTTCCATTTTCTATTACTATCTCAGTTACAGTTGACCATGCATATATTCTCTTCAGAATACGCGAATAAGCCAGTCACAGCAATCAGTGCTATGCACATGCAGACTACTACTATGGATAACTACAGTGCGATTCGTTCATGACTGAGCGTGGAGCAGAGTCCACACAGAAGTTGATCGTGGTACCCAAGGCTGCTTCTCACTCATTCTGGAAGCAGACCGCAAAAGTGAAAAGCACACATCAGGGGAATACATTCAGTTTTCATTATTGACAGTTGTTTTTAAAAAAGTATGATACGAAGGCATTTATACATTTTTGTGATAGGCATTATTAGAAAAAACAATATCCAGGCACTCCTGAACCATAAGTTTGTGAGAACTATTATACTGTTAGATTAAGAAGCAAAAGTATTTATTAGACAGATAAATGTGAAAAGGGAAAAAAATACGTGTCAGATCTTGTTTAGAAATGAGAGACTAATTCCTTGAGTGATAATATCAATATAAAACATTCATACTGGAACATACTTTGGAAATTTAATATTTATAATTTAATATTTATATAATGAAAATAAAAGTGAAACCTGAAATACTGATTAGAGAACAGCAGTTCATACTTTTCTCAGAAACGTTTTAACCAGTCAAAACATTTTTGACATTTTTGTGCTTCAAGTGTTTCCAGTGTCTTGAACAAATAAAGAAATTTTTATAACTATTTAAAATGAAAATGATAGTTTTGAAAATGATAGAAGCATAGGAAGTACTCTAATTGTCCTACAATAAAGGATACATCTAACTAACAAGTAATCAGTTTCAGATTAAATATATATTTATCATTTCATAATGATATAAACAACTGATTGTTACACCAGGTTAAGAAAATTACTAAATGAAAAAAACAGTAGCATAACTAAAGATAACATTAATAAAGTACTCACAGAGATCCTTTTACTGTGAATATACCTAAGTATCATAAAACTGCTAAAAAGTTAGAAGGTATAAAATTACCAGTATGGATCAGATTAGTATTTTTGCTTTTACAGGGGTAATATCGTTAGCAGCAATAAAGATTACCTTTAGTGCTCCGTAACTTGAAATCTGCAGAGCCTTTAAACACTAAACAACAAAAAGCTACAAATCCCTAGTTTTAAGTATCAGTTCATTTTATGATTAAGGTTTCTTTTTTCATTAACCCTCATTCTTCAGTTAGCTTCATCTTCAGAGCAAGCTGATGATGGCTTGTGTGTGCTAGCAGGATGAACGCTATCTTTTCAAAACATAATGCCACAGTTCATGTACAGCTGGCACATCTATCTGCTTTACCAGCAGTGTTTTTAAGGATCATGCGGATTGAACAGCAACTACAGCTTAAGGCCCTGACAAGGTTTACTGCTGACATTCTTCATGGAGATGGTCACCCTTATCGTACGCTTTATTCGTTACTTATTATCTTGAAAGTAGAGGCGACGTCTCATTGCATCCTGATATCACCACATCATTTTTATCTTCTAATTTAACAATTTCTCAGAAACAGCTAACAAGAGTAATTTTTCTAGTTTGTATTGTACTGTGACTTTATTTACATTTTAATTGATGTTATATAATATACACTGTATATTATATAATTTAAATATATATTTCATGTTTTATACTAAAATGTTACATTTTAAAATACATATTTATTCTTGCACATAGTATCACCAGAATCCTAAAATATTAGCACGAAAAGAACTTCGGGAATCATCCAAAACAAACGTTCTTTTCACTAATGAGGAAACCGAGGTTCAGAAAGACGAAACAATTTATGCCTAGGATGATATGATTTAAACATCCAAATATAAAACTTACCTACTTTGGACATTTTTCCAGCTACATGTTTTTTTTTTGATGTTGTTGTTTTTTGTTTTCTTTTTTTAAGTACAAGAACTATTAATTTCATTTTTGCTTTTATATTTAATTAAAAATTGGTTTGTCTCTGGTTGCCTTGCAAAGTTGTCTTGTGTTGTCAAGACTCAAAAAGAACATGCCACGTGTTAGCAGAAAGGTACAGATGTAAACAAAAGCTTCATAAATGTTATTTAAATTGATTTACCATCTTACAAAATTAAATTTTGTTTCATAAATTAAAGCTTTGCTTAGGGAAGTTTAAAAAAATAACATAGTTATCTTTTACTTTTATATGTACAAGTATCTCTGCTGATGTTTCATCAGAAATTTTATGATTCATGATTTGTGTATACTCTTTTTGGTTGTTCAATATGATGAAATTGTAAATTAACAAAAGACCAAGTGATTAAATTATACGGTTAGAGAAAAAATATTTTTAGGACATTCAAATGACCCACTTCACGCATTTGTTTCAGTCCATTCCCTTGTATTTCCCCTACATTACCATTTTAAATGCTGATTTAACTGCTGTTCTAGCCAGCAATGAAAGGAATGTCTATGTAAATTTAAACCACAAATTAAAGCTTTCAGCATCTTCTCTCACCCTGACCCTGTTCCCAACCTAAGCCTCATCTGGTTAAAGGCACTAGTTTAGAAAAATTGCCCTGATGTAAAAATTACAATTAGTTGAATACAATTATGACATTTTAATGTTATATTTACATGTGCTAATTTAGAATGGAATAACAAACATATTGTATTTTCCTTATGTTCTATGTTCAGCACATAATAATTTTCTTTCTTTTTCAGCTTTTTAATTAAATGAAGCCAAGTGGGATTTGCATAAAGTGAATGTTTACCATGAAGATAAACTGTTCCTGACTTTATACTATTTTGAATTCATTCATTTCATTGTGATCAGCTAGCTTATTCTTGTGTACTTTTTTTAAACTGTGGGTTTTCCTAGTAAATTTAATTTACAGAAATCAATGGTAGCATTTAGTAATCTACAAAGGAAATATCAAAGTGTTTTTCAAGCCTGTTATATTCAGTGTGTGCCACAGGATTGAAATAAATGACAATGTAATTATGAATTCATGTTTTAGAGCTGTTTACTCATTAGTAAAGGACCGCAATGTTAGTAAAGAAAACCTATGAAATGTATGTTAAAGATTCTTAGTATTGTACAGGGATAAAGCAAATGCATGAAAATATGTCATGTACTGAAAATTAAACTTACTTCAGTTTCAGTTATAAAGGACGTGCACTGTTACGAATAGTGTTTTGTTATTAATTATAACTAGATAAAGGTATATAGGACAGGGAACTGGATGAATGGTACCTACAATTTGGATGCCTAACCAAGGACTAGAGCTCCTTCTTGAGATCTAAATCTAAAGTAAATGTGCATTAAAGCAGTGTGCTTCAAAGGCATCAGACGATGAAAGCAACATACCACAACTAGGAGTTATTTCTCAAACTTAAATGTCCTCTGGGAATCCAGACTTAAAAATAAGAGCAAACTTAACACACTATCCATTTTCGAGCAAACCTAACCCACTATATCCATTTTGCTCATGTGTTTTATGCAACCAGCTTTCCATCAAATCCTCAATCTTTGAATCCAGGTAAAAGGTTAATTATCCTAGGATTAGTGAATGATTCAATGAAGCTTTCTTGAAAACAAACATAGGAGTGTAATGTACTATTATGTTTGTATCCTGTTTTAGTTTATAAAGCACTTTCACATACATTATGGTATTTCTTCCTCACAATAACCTTGTAAATTAGTCAGGAAATGTAAATTTTATCTGACTCATAGAACTAATGGAAGCTGAAAGCCAAAAATAAAGTTTATAACCAGGCCTTCAAACTCTCAAACATGGATTTTTATATTCTGTGGAGTTATCCAAATTAATTAGGGTTTAGGAAAGCAGTTCTTCTTGAGTCAGTTCAATAAGTGTTTGCTTTTTGTTTTTAAGGTTTGTTATCTAATTTTCATTAAGATTTGAGTAACAGACCATGGAGAATTGTTTTCATTGGGAGTTCCAGCTATATAGCCTCAAACAAGAAACGGGTGTACAACCATTGAGTTTACTTACTTAAATCTGTGAATTTCAATGAAGAATGGGAATATAAAGGCCTACTGGGGCATGTTTATCAAGTTATATCCCAGGGCAATGTGTATGCTAGCAGGATGAATGCTATCTTTTCAAAACATAATATTCAGTGAAAATTACGTAATAATTGTAAGTTTATAATCATACTCCCAAATCTGTTACTAAAAATAACATAAATTCTCCTAGTTCATGTACTTAGATGAATAAATTTAGTTTTGGAATGACGTTTATGGAAAAGCAATAGATGAACTTAATCATTTGATCACTGCCTATCACTAGGCAGAACTTGACCTGTAATTCTTAATCCATTGTAGATTTTTTACATTTTACTCAAAACTTCATACATAGAGACTCTCAGGTCAAATTTTACAAGTATTAAACATTTGTTAATTATAATCACTTTTGTTTGTATCCTTAAATCTCAGAATTATCTTGCAGTTAATATGCAGCTGATTAAATGATATTACAAATTATCTCTAATCTCACTGTAAATCTTTTAATCATATCAAAGTCAGGTCATCCTCAGACACTATAACTAAGATAGATAAGGAGTACTTTACTATACCATATTAGTAAAGGTTTTCTAGCTCTTATTTTCTAATTTCCTCTGAGCATTTAAAATTACATCCAGTGATAAAAACAATATTTTTTTTTCAGAATTTCATGCTTTAAAAAGCTGTGGCTTCTCTATAGACAACTGTTACATTAGGGAAGTGATTCTAGAGCAAAATATACTGCCTCAACATAAGTCGTTACTGACTGGAAAATGCTATAGGCAGAATTGCAAAGAGTGGCTCAAACATATAGTTTGCTTGCAGAATGTAACGTGCAAAATCACATACATGCGATGTATTTACCTTTGCTAGACAATGAGAATTGAATAATTGATTTGTACCTGGTATGTTATATCCTCCAGTGTCACTTTTTAACCAGATTCACTGTGCGTTCCAAACTGTCATAAAAATTGATTATATGTTTAACAATTGTTTTTCTACTACAGTGGAGAGAAAAATCCCAATTATAAAATTCCACCTAAAGGAGTTTCATTTTGTAATAACATCTGATTAATAACTTGTTGCATTTTGCTTAACATACTGTTCCTGGCATTAGATATTCACATGAGTAAGCCCAGTAGCATTTTGTGCTTACTGCAGTTTTCTTTTACACACGAAGTAACATCCCTTGTCAATTACAATTCAGCAGGCATGGTGATTTGGGGAGACGACTAGATGTTGCTGTAACCGTAGAGCGTGGCAAGTATTCCCTTTCTTGCTATCACCTAAGCAAACCTCCCTAAGGGTACGTGAAGGGAGTGGTTATTCTAAATAAGGCATGACAAATTACTTTTCAACCAGTGACATTAAACATTGTGTTTTAAAAAGGACTGGTCACTGGGGCGAACACATTAGCTGGAGCATGTAGGGACAAAATACTTGAATTGACGCTTGAAGACTCAATGTTCTCAAAGTCCACAGAGCTCATTAAGTTTAAAATAGTAAAACAAGGTCTTCTTCATACTCCAGCAATATGCTATATTGGATCAGACCAATATATGTAATAATGTTTTCTCTAATAGTAGGAAAAGGATGAGCATTGTAGCTAGTCACACTCAAAGGGTACAAGTATGCATTCATTAGCTCCTAAATTCCCTGATGATATAATTCACGAGCATCTGCCATTTATGAATTTTCGATATTCCTCTATGTCTGAAATACATGCATATATTTATATCATATACCAAGGGTCCAACTACTATACAAAGATTTAACAAAGCATCTCACCTTCCGGCCATAATAGGAAAATCATGTCACATTTACCCAAATGTGGATACATCTATCTATTTCCATTAAAAATTATGCATAGATGTCAGGAAAAATGACAGCAAGGAATTCCAGGGACATACCTGTCCTTAGAAAAACAGGAAAAAAAAAAAACACTGTCACATTCCATTTTATTGGAAATTTGTTTTAAAAAAAAAAGTTTACCAAACCACTGTTTAAAACAAGAAAATGCTTAAATTAAAAAAGCAACTGAAACTCAGCTGGATAGCTTAATGGTATTTTATCTTAATTCACCCTCTTTCCTCCCCAGTCAGGAATGGTCTTGAAGACTGCAGCCTGCATTCCTTATGTGGGTTCCTGGCTTTGGAGGGAGCAGAATAGACCTCATTCTTAAGAAATGGTGTTTGCTTTGACCTATCTAGGGTCTTGCCTTCGGTTGACGTAACTCAGAAGTCTCTCAGGTGAAAAAGTAGCTGTGCTGAGAATGGTTTCTTGAAAGCATTGAAAGTAAATGAAGAAGCCACTGCTGCCTGGAGAAAAGATTGAAGTTGGGACAAATAGACATACACTGAAAGCCTGGAAGGAAAAGCTGGATAGTGAAATACTTTGGAGAATAAGGAATTGGAAACAATGCTACATGTAACAGGGACTCTAGAAGGACATACACATACCCAGGGCAGGATCCATGTTCAGAAAAGTCCTGAGAAGATTCTAAGCTTTCACATCTTGCTGATATTAATATTTACACCCAGACCAAACAGGAAGTGAAGACTAAAACAGTGGTAAACAGCCCAGATAAGTGTTGAAAGAGTTCCCCAATAGAGAACCTGTCTGTAAAGTGGGGAGAGTATTTTTCTTTTTATCTTTTTTTTTTCTTTTGTCTCCAGGCATTTAAGGAAAGTTCTGTCAAACTACTGACTGACCACTAGGCTAATGGAATAAATACACAGACAACATGTGACAGTTTAGAAAAGTCACTAAACAAATCACTGCTACATAAACTGCAATTCACAACAAGCCGTGATAACAAAACTTGGGGAGAGGGCAGAATCTAGTTTCCAGAGTTGCCACATTATAATGTTCAGGCTATCCACTTTATAAAAATTTAAAACATGAGGCATATGAAGAGACAAGAAAGTCATCTTATTCACAAGAAAGAAATTAACAGAAACTGACCCTGAGGCAGCACAGGCATTGGACTTGCTAGACGAGGACATTAATGTCTTCAACCTACTCAAAGAGCTAACAGAAACCATGGACAAACAACTAAAGGAAACAGAGAATGATTTATCATTAAATAAAGAATATCAGTAAAGAGATAAAAATTATAAAAAGGATAGGAACAGAGGAAATCAAATTGTCTGTTTGTAGATGACATGGTTGTACATTTAGAATACCCCATCATCTCAGCCCCAAATCCCCTTAAGCTGATAAGCAACTTCAGAAAAGTCTCAGGATACAAAATCAATGTGCGAAAACCACAAGAATTTCTATATCCCAATAACAGCCAAATCATGAGTGAACTCCCATTCACAATTGCTACAAAAAGAATAAAATACCTAGGAGTACAAGTTACAAGGGATGCGAAGGACCTCTTCAAGGAGAACTACAAACCACTGCACAAGGAAATAAGAGAGGACACAAATGGAAACACATTCCATGCTCATGGATAGGACAGATGAATATCGTGAAAATGGCCGTACCGCCAAAAGTAACTTATAGATTAAATGCTATCCATCAACCTGCCATTGACTTTCTTTATAGAATTAGAAAGAAACTACTTTAAATTTCATGTGGAACCAAAAAAAAGCCTGCATAACCAAGACAATCTTAAGCAAAAAAAGAACAAAGCTGAAGGCATCACTCTACCTGACTTCAAACTATACTACAAAGCTACAGTAACCAAAACAGCATGGTACTGGTATGAAAACAGATATATAGACCAATGGAACGGAACAGAACAGAGGCCTCAGAAATAATACCACACGTCTACAACCATCTGATCTTTCACAAACTTGACAAAAACAATGGGGAAAGGATTCCCTATTTAATAAATGGTGATGGGAAAACTGGCTAGCTATATGCAGAAAACTGAAACTGGACCCCTCCCTTACACCGTACACAAAAATTAACTCAAGATGGATTAAAGACTTAAATGTTAAGACCTAAAACCTTAAAAACCCTAGAAGAAAACCTAGGCAATACCATTCAGGACACAGGCATGGACAAAGACTTCATGACTAAAACACCAAAATCAATGGCAACAAATGCCAAAATTGATACATGGGATCTAATTAAACTAAAGAGCTTCTGCACGGCAAAAGAAACTATGATTAGAGCAAACAGACAACCTACAGAATGGGAAAAAATTTGTGCAATCTATCCATCTGACAAAGGGCTAATAATCCAGAATCTACAAAGAACTGAAATTTATAAGAGAAAACCCCATCAAAAAGTGGGCAAAGGATATGAACAGACACTTTTCAAAAGAAGACATTTATGTGGCCCACAAACGTTAAAGAAAGCTCATCATCACTGGGCATTAGAGAGATGCAAATTAAAACCACAGTGAGATACCATCTCTCGCCAGTTAGAATGGCGATCATTGAAAAGGAAACAACAGGTGCTAGAGAGGATGTGGAGAAATAGGAATGCTTTTACACTGTTGGTGGGAGTGTAAATTAGTTCAACCATTGTGGAAGACAGTGTGGTGATTCCTCAAGGTTCTAGAATCAGAAATACCATTTGACCCAGCAATCCCATTACTGGGTATATACACAAAGGATTATAAATCAATCTACTTTAGATACATGCACATGTATGTTTGTTGCAGCACTGTTCATAATAGCAAAGACTTGGAACCAACCCAAATGTCCATCAATGATAGACTGGATAAAGAAAATGTGGCACATATGCACCATGGAATGCTATCCAGCCATAAAAAAGGGTGAGTTCATATCCTTTGCAGGGACATGGATGAAGCTGGAAACCATCCTCAGCAAACTAACACAGGAACAGAAAACCAAACACCGCGTGTTCTCACTCATAAGTGAGAGTTGGACAGTGAGAACGCATGGACACACGGAGGGGAACATCACACACCGAGGCCTGTCAGGGGATCAGGGGCTGGGGAGAGATAGCATTAGGAGAAATACCCAATGTAGATGATGGGTTGATGGATGCAGCAAACCACCATGGCATGTGTATACCTCTGTAACCTGCATGTTTTGCACATGTATCCCAGAACTTAAAGTATAATTTTTAAAAATTATGAAAAGGAGTCAAATATAAATTCCGATGTTGAAAAATATGATCTTAAAATGAATCAGTTGAAATTATAATAATATAGTAATAATTGGAAAAGTCATTAGGCTTGACAGGAGAATAGGCAGATAAAACAATCAGTGAACTTGAAGCTAGGTCAGTTGTTGAAATGATCCAGTCTGAGGAGGAGACAAGGAAATATGAACACAGACCAAAAGACTGTTAGACACTATCAAGCATATTAAGTATAAATACGAGTCCCAGAAGAGAGAGGAAAGGACAGAAAAGAGTACCCGAAGAAATAATGTTCAAACTTACCAAATCTGAAAAAAGACATGAAGCCAATATCCAAGAAGTTCCAACAAATTCCACATAGTATACACATTCAAAGAGATCCATACCAAGACACATTAAAATAAAACTGTCAAGAGATCAGGAAAGAATCTTGAAAGCAGCAAGAGAGACGTGATTCAACATGTAGAAGAAATCCTCAGTAAGATTAATAGCCAGTTGCTCATTAGAGGCCATTAAGGCAGAAAGGCATTTTACAGTGCTAAAAGAAACCATCGGCCAAGAATTCTGTACCTGGCAAAGTTATCCTTTTAAAATGAAGGATAAAGTAGTACCTTCCCAGAAAAAAGAGTCTGTTCTACATAGACCTATACCATAAAACATGCTTCAGCATGTTGGAAAATACTCCTCAAATGGAAATACTCCTCAAAATGACCTACAAATTCAATTTCCTATTATAATCCCGTGGGCTTTTTGCAAAAATAAGAAAGCTGATTCATATGGAAATGCATGGGATCCTGAATAGCCAAAGGATTATTGAAAAAGAACCAAGTTGAAGAGTCCTTCAAGCTGAAAGGACAACTGAGAGTCATACAAAGAAATGAAAAACATTATTAAAAGAAATAACTGCATAGATTAAATATAAAGGCATTATTTTTGGTTTGTAACTTTGTTTCATGTAATTTAAAAGATTGCATAATACAGTAACTAAATCTTGTGAACCTCTAAATTAAAAACTCTACAGTGTATAAATAAACTGGAAAACTAACAAATATGTGGAAAATAAATAATATAAAACAACCAGTGGATCACAGAAGAAGTCATAATGGAAATTAGAAAACACCTGAAGACAAATGAAAACAAAAATTCTACATACCAACATTTATGAGATACACAAAAAGGAATGTTCAGAGGGGGATTTGTAGCTGGAAATGTCTGTATTAAAAAAAAGAAGAAAGGCCGGGCACGGTGGCTCACGCCTGTAATCCCAGCACTTTGGGAGGCCGAGACAGGCGGATCACAAGGTCAGGAGGTCGAGACCATCCTGGCTAACACGGTGAAACCCCATCTCTACTAAAAAATACAAAAAATTAGCCAGGTGTGGTAGAGGGCGCCTGTAGTCCCAGCTACCTGGGAGGCTGAGGCAGGAGAATGGCGTGAACCCAGGAGGCGGAGCTTGCAGTGAGCCAGGATCGCGCCACTGCACTCTAGCCTGGGCCACAGAGCAAGACTCCGTCTCAAAAAGAAAAAAAAGAAAAAGAAAGATCTTGAATTAATATCCCAAGTACACTTTAAAGAATTGGAAAAAGAAAAACAAACCCAAAACAAGCAGATGTATAGAAATAAAGATCAGAGCAGAGCTAAACAAAATAGAGAAAAGAAAAACAATAAAGTCAATGAAACCGAAAGTTGGTTCTTTGAAATATCAAAAAAATTGGCCAACCTTTAGCTGTGCTAAGAAAAAGATACAAATTACTAATATCAGAAATGGAAGTGGGAACATTAATACCCACCTTGCGGAAATAAAAAGGATTATAAGAGAATAACTGTATACCAAAAGTTAAATAACCTAAATGATATGGACATATTCCTAGAAACAACCAAACTATGAAAATTTACTCAACAAAAACAAAATATGGACAGACCTCTTAACAAGAGATTGAACTGGTTATTAAAAACCTCCCAATAAAGGAAAACCCAAGACCAGATGACTTCACTGGTGAGTTACACCAAATATTTAAAGAATGAACACAATCTTTCTCAACTAGTTCAAAACATAGAAGAGAAAGTAACACTTCCTAATTCTGTGGCAACTATTAACCTTGACACCACACCAAATACACTAAGAAAATTATCTCCTATGTAATTAATTATCTCTTATGACAGTGCATGTAAAAATCCAACAAAATACTAGCAAACAATCCAGCAGGATACTAAAAGTTTTATACAGCATGACCAAGTGGGAATTATTCCAGAAATGCGAAGGTGGTTCAACATATGAGAAAGAAAATCAGTGTAACACACCACATGAACAGAATGAAGAGGGAAAGCTTACATAATGATGTAGTTGATGCAGAAAAAGCATTTAACCAGATCTAATACCCATCCATCATTTAAAAGTGAACACAAACACTCAACATTATCAGGATGAGTATTTGTGAAAAACCAGCAGCTAACATAACATTCAATGGTTAAAAACAAAACTTTCCCCCTGAAATCAGGGACATGGCAAGAATGCCTACTTTCGCCACCTCTATTCAGCATTATTCTGTGTGTTCTAGGTAGGACAATTAGGTAAGGACACAAAAAGACAACCAAATTGGAAAGGAAGACATAATGCTTACTTCCTTTCACAGATGGCATGATATACATAAAGTAAAACGAAGAATTTTTTAAATGATTAAAAATAAATTCACCAGAGTTGCAGGATACATGGTTAACATGCAAAATCCAATTGTATTTCTATATACTAGCAATGAAGAGTCTGAAAAAGGAAATTAAGACAATTTCATTTATAATAGAACCAAATAATAAAATACTTTTGGACAGATTTAACCAAGGAACTAAAAATACAAAACATTGCTGAAAGAAGTTAAAAAAAGACCTAAACAAATAGAAATACATCAAGTTCATACGTTGAAAAACATAATACTGTTAAGATGGAAATACTTCTCAAAATGATCTACAAATTCAATTTCCTATTATAATCCAGTGGCCTTTTTGCAAAAATAAGAAAGCTGATTCATATGAAAATGCATGGGGTCCTGAATAGCCAAAGCATTTATTGAAAAAGAACCAAGTTGAAAGACTCACACTTTGAAAACTTAATACAATTCTACAATAATGGAAACACAACTACCAGGTACCAAACATAGGCACTAGTGTAAGGATAAACATATAGATTAATAGAATGGAATTGGGAATCCAAAAACATACCCATAACCTCTCTATTGATTTTCAACAAGAGTGCCAAAACCATCAGCTGGATTTCCACATGCAAAACTAGGATAAAGTTGGACCCTTGCCTCACACTGTATACATAAAAGTAACTCAAAATGGATCAACGATGTAAACTTAAGGGCTAAAATTATAACACTTTTAGAAACATAGGTGTGAACTCTTTTGACCTAGGGTTTGGCAACAGTTTCTTGGATATGACTTCAAAAGCACAAGCAACAAAATAAAAATATAACTTAGACCTCAAAATTAAAAACTTTTGTGCATTAAAAGCACTATGGAGAGCAATTACCCATGGTAATAGAGAGAATATTTGCAAATCATATATCTGATAAGGACCTAGTATCCAAAATATATAACGAATTCTTACAAATCAATAGCCAAAAGACAAAATCTCAATTAAAAATGGAGTTTAAGCGTCAAATTTTGTCTCCTCAAAAAAGATAAGTTGAAGTCCTGATCCGAGTACTTCAGAGTACATCCTTACTTGGAAATAGAGTCACTGCAAATGTAATTAGTTAAGATGAGGTCATACTGGAATAAGAATGCTCCTAATCCAGTATTACTGGTGCCCTTGTAAGAAGGAAGCCATGTATGGACAGATACAGGGAGAAAACCATATAAAGATGGATGATTCGCCTGACTACAAGCCAGCAAGTGCCACAGATTGCCAGCAAACCAATAGCTAGGAAGAGGCAAGGAAGGATTCCCATAAAGGTCTCACAAGTAGCATGACTTTGCCAAGACCTTGATTTTTTACTTTTAGTCTCCAGAACATTAAGATCGTAAATTTCTGTTCTTTTAACCCATCCATTTTGTGGTACTTTGTTACAGCAGCTCTAGGAAACTAATACAATGAGCCAAGGTCTTGAGTAAACATCAGAGTAAAATATACAAATGTCAACAATCACATAAGGTGCTCAATGTCATCAGTTACTCCGAAAATGCAAATCAAAATCAAAATGACATATCACTCTGATGTGTGACTTCACACCCATCAGAATGTATTTTTTTTTTAAAGGAAAATGTTGGTGCAGATGTGAAGAAAATGAAGCTCTCATACGTTGTGGGAATTTAAAATGAATTGGCCACTTTGGAAACAAATTAGTAGTTCTTTAATGAATTAAACGGACTTACCATATGACACTGCAGTTCCACTTAGGTATATATCCAAAATAAGGGAAAATAGGTGTTTAAACAAAACTTGCACAAATGTTCATATCACTATTCACAATTGCCAACAGGGAAGACAACCCAGATGTTCATCAGCTGAGGAGTGGATAAACAAAATTGATATATCCATGCATTAGAATGTTATTTACCCATAAAAAAGTTATGAAGTACTGTTACATCCTGCAGCATGAGTGAACTTTGAAAACAAGTGAAAGATGCCAGATACGAAAAGCCACATAGTATATCATTCCTTTTATATGAAATGCCCAGAACAGAAAAACTCCTACACAAAAAGCAGATGCGTGGTTGCCAGGGGTTGGATGAGGGGTAGGATGGGGAGTGACTATTTAGTGGCTTGAGGGTTATTTTAGGGGTGATGAAAATATTCTGGAGAGTGATGATGATTGCATAATATTGTGAATGTACTTCATGCTACTCAATTATACGTATTAAGTTTAAAATGATTAATTTTATGCTACCTGCATTTTATCACCACCACAATACAAATTGTGCATACAGCTATATAAAGGTATTTTAACAACCTACTAATGCTATTCAAGAAGACATGGTTCTCTTATCCGGACTTCAGTGTCCCAGTTAGCCTTGTCATGACCAAAAATATTTACATGTATGTACATATATATATACAGACACATATATATATATATATACACACACATATACATATATACACACATAAATACATATGTACACACACACATATATACATATATATACACACACAAACATATATAACTATATATTACACTATATATATATATATATATATATATATATCTTCCGTAATAAAAAGGCACCATTTAATTCTTTTAAGAGAAGGAGCCATTGCACCTGAATGGATTCTTTTTCCTGTTGTGCCTTTATATAGGAGCAAGATGCTTATTAGTGTGGAAAGCAAGAGAAAATGGACAGAGAACAAGATATTCAAACCAATGCAGAAAAAGGAAACATTTAATATTTAAATAATGGGGATGAGGTTAATAATTTCTCAATTCCTAAATTTTACTGTATAGTTTGACTGTAGAAAAGATGTGTTCATCTAATTCACTATTCTCCAAATACAGAATAGTTTCTCTATGATAAAGCACTGGCATCTTATCATGACGGAGAGGGTAGTAGCCTTGAATGATGTTTTAACTGGTAATTGCTTTTATATCAAACACTTTTCAGCTGATTATGAACAAGATTCAGCCTAATTTTAAAGCTAAAATTAAAAATACGTGGGGCCTCAGTTTTACCTATAAACATGTAATGAAAAGGTGTTTTTATTTTTTTCCTGTGGCCTCTCAAGGAAGAAATGATTCTATCTTTAACACGTTTTTATTTATTTTATGAATGGGCAAATATCCTAACAAAAAGAAACACACGTCTTACCATTCATCTTGGGAGAGAAGGCTATTGCTTGATAACTAAGGAATACTATTTTTGAAGCACCTTTACAGTACTTGACATGTCAGTTATGTTTTCAATGTTCAGCCCTATGTCAGCCTGCAGGAATTTCTCATCTGCCCATGTCTGTCTATTCATATTGGTAAGTTTCAGCACAGCCCTCTTTAAAACTTCATTGTGTTACTAATATTTAATTTTTAAGTTTTAAAATCTAGCACTTCTGTGCTAGATCCTCGAATCAATTTTTACATTCTTTTGAAATTTATAGTAATATTTTTGCCTCATCCCTATACTCAATAATTGGCAGTGAGCTATATTATCACTTAAGTAACTTTATTACCAATTGTGCTATATTCTACCATCACAAAGTATTCTTTTAAGGCATTCTTCAGATACTGTCATTTTCATTGGTGTCTTCCAGAACGATTCTATAAAAACTCTGTAAGATTAGCCCTTTTACTGTTATGTGAAAGAAACAGGGTAACATGATGGGCAAAAAACTTGAGACTGAAATTTTACGTGTAACACTGTCATGTGTTCATTCAAAAAAAAAATAATTTAACTTCTGTGTGTTGCTATCTCTGCCTTTAAAATACAGTAGTGGTGCCGTATCTCATGTAGACAGGTTGTGAAATCCAAAAAATGTATTTTACATGTTCTCGGTTTTTAAGTCTTACAAGGTTCTTTTCCAGCTAGAATCTTCTTTGAAGAACAGGAAACAAAGAAGACTTTTCCTGGCCTCCTCTTAGACTCTGGAGTAGGGTAACTAAAAGATAAATCAGCTACTTCTTAAAATTTCCAACTTCCAATCATATCAAGAATAACATTTCAAACAAAGCATACCAATGAAAATTCAAGGTATCTTGTAACTTCCCCCCCACCTTTTCGGGAGCTGGGAGGGGTTACCAAGCTGTTCCCAAAGCTGAAGGAAAAGAAGGCATAGTGTGCCTCAGCAACTTTCCTGAGCTCCGTATTTCCTTGACTGCAGTTTGTGTTACCTATAAAGGGAGATTTATCATATCTTGGTGCCAAAGCTCAAAAATTACTGGGTAAAATATATACATCCCCATGTATGCTGCTTAAATACACACATGAACATATAATTCAAATTTTCACTGTGCTATATTTAAGTAGGTAAGACAAGAAAGACAAAATCTCTGAATTGAAGCAGATATGAAGCATATAAATGATAGTACTTCCTTTTTATTTAGTGCCTTTACTTTTTGAAATTTTTGCACGTAATTTTATTTCATCCTGACAACTTTAAATAGTTCATAAGACAAGTATACACTTTATAAATGTCTAAGACACAGAGAGGCAAAGGTAAATGCTTAAAGGTTGTTGGACTATAATGGCAATTAGCTAACTTCCTGAATTATCTCCTTTACAGGAATTCCCTTTTAAAATATTATATACAGATATATACAGACACACACAAGAAGTATATATTCATAAATATTCTTAAAAATTAAGGTTATCAATATGAAGTGTGTCAGTCCCTTGGAGGAATTAGTTTAACTTCGTTGTAGATGGACCAGATTTGAAATGAGCAAAAAGTCTATGCCTAAATTTTTCAAATAAAAAGAGCATTGAAAAACATCTTGATTTCCCTCTCCTTGCCCCCTACCAATCCTAGTAGGATTGTGCTTTCAATCAGAGACTCTGCCTTCAATCTGAGTGACATCAGACTCAGAGCCCACACTTTAAGGCAAAAAAAAAAAACAAAAAACCAAAAAACAAACCACCACCGGCTAATATCACCCTTGTTTCCAACTAATTAGGAATTACTTCTTAAGTACCAAAGTTGCCTCTCCCACCTGATTTCCATAAAGACCTGATTTACTACACTTATTCTGAAAACTGCAATTCATACTAACGTAATCTGACTGATGAGGTGAGAGTATTACCAGTACTGAAAAACATTTTCCCAATTACAGTTTACTTTTAGGGTCCTGGGAAAAACAGACAAGGAGACAAAACAGAAATCTCTGGGCTCTTAATATTAGTTGTTATTGACTAATCAGCATCTGCTATGCCTGGGGACTAAATTCAAGCCTGACTCACAGAAGAAAACTATTAATGATTTTTTTTTTAATACAAGCATCTTTTCTCTTTTAGCTGCTTCCCACATTTATCATCACCATGCGAACACAATATAAAAGCAGCCAGTATTATTAGGTAACACAGTAAGTTTTCTCACCCCTTTCTCTTCCAAGTAGGCAGGGCCATAATTCATGATT
Organism: Homo sapiens; assembly: GCF_000001405.40. Classification (NCBI taxonomy): domain Eukaryota; kingdom Metazoa; phylum Chordata; class Mammalia; order Primates; family Hominidae; genus Homo; species Homo sapiens. The sequence continues at coordinate 15,778,630 of NC_000008.11, forward strand.
CTTTATGTATCACTTAGAATCCCTGTTTACCTAGATTTTTATGCCAAATAGGGAAAGTGTAAATTTCCAAATCTGCTTTTCCCAAAAACATACCTTTTCCTTAGAGAAAGGGCCCTATTACTGGCCACAAAAGGAATTTCCTCCAAAATTAACATCCTTAGGCTACTGTGACTATCTGGGAATGAAAGTTACACCAAGAAACTCTTTATGCAAATCATTCAGACTTGAGTTAGATACAGAACAATGACTACAGATGAGGCACTTAGAGTTTTCTGTCCTTCTGAGTTTACGTTAATTATATTTGAACATGAAACCCAAAAGGCTATTTAATTCACAATAATATCACTTCTACACAAGCTTTACTTTAGTAATTCCTCAGCACTAGGACTGGAGTTGGAATAGTCTATTTCAGTTACGTTCACATACATCCTGGGTAAGTACTAGAAGCAGGCCACCCTCGAATGTTTTCTTTTTTTTTTTTTTTTTTTTCCACGTTACTTCTAGTAAAAGAGTAAGTATATTCCACTTTAGGTTATCCAGAGAGAAATACTGTCGCCAGTAGTATCGGGGAAACCCCATGTATCTCCAACAAGGGAAACCAGGACCTTGGATAGAAACTATATGATTGGGGTCTCGCTTTGTTGCCCAGGCTAGTCTTGAACTCCTACCATGTAGCAGTCCTCCCACCTGGGCTTCCCATAGTGCTGATATTACAAGCATGAGCCACTGTGCCCAGCCCACATATGCACTTTTATAAAAAATAAAAATTATCCAAAAATATCCTTTAACCATGTGATTAATCAAACATGAGAACTCAGGAAACAAAAAAGTACAAAAGCTGAAGGAGTATTGACACCACTGTAATATGGAAGCTGTCTAAACGTCGTCACACTGCTAATTAAGACAACATAATTTAAAATTTCAGTAAGTACTTTAAAAACTTCAGTAATTACAATATTAATATGTTCTTACAATTTACATCGATAATTACTGAAAAGAGGAAGAGTAAAAATGTAACATATGCCTAGCATTTGATTAAAAGAGTATCAAAAGTTAGTCTTTTTAATTGCGTGTTTTTAAAAAGATCAGCTATTTTTGGTAAGCATAAAAGTCATCATTATATGTTTTACCATAATCTGTAAATCCAGATTCCTAGAGGAAACTCAACATCTACCTCTGATTGTAACTCTCACCAAACTAGGCAGAAGGGAACTAATAAAGGGCAACTACAGAAACGCTATAGTCTGTGTCATACTTAATGGTGAAAGCCTTAATGCTTGCGTTCCTGCTAAGATCAGAAACAAAACGAGCGGTCTTTCTCACCATTTATATTCAACACTGTACTGAAGATTCTGGAAAGTGAAACATAATTTGAATTCTGTTTTCTTCATCCTCTTGCCTTACACCAAACTAGCAATGTGTTATGCCATTCAGAAAATGAATAATATGGTGATGTCAGCAACATGGTAAAATAGGAGGCTCCTGACTTCACTCACACAGATGCACCAAATAAACATATGTTCATGAGTCAGTTCCCTTTCAGAGAAAATCAGGAATTCAAAGATTCTGATGAACTGGGCAACTAAGAATATCAACCTTAAATGGGTAGGCAAAGCTGAGGCACACTTGGGCATGGACCCCACCCCAGGTACTGCACAATACAGTTGGAAAGGAATTCCTAACATACAGCTGTTCCCTGAGGGGAGGAGAGTTTGGGCCACACATACAGTGTCCTAACTCAAAGGTTCCCCATGGTTTGGCTCTTGATTCATCAACTTGGAACAAAGGGGACTAGGCATACACAAGAGTCTCTAGACCACAGAAAAAAAAGTGCAGTTTTGTATGGACACACAAACACTTGCAGGGGCTTCATTCCTGGGAATAGGGCAGAGAAAACTCAAATATTCCCAGTTGTTCTGGAAGGCACTTGCCAGCATACTCTGCCGCCTGTTGCTGCTGACCATTAGCTTCTGACTAGTCTGCATCAGAGAGCTAATGTGGCCAACTAGCCTTAGACTTCCAGCAGCCCGAGTAGGACCTGGGCACTTTCTCATCCCTCTTCCCTGGCTCACCCCAGCAATAACTTCAGGTCTACTGTTTCCTCCTGGAAGAAGTTTGTGTGGGCAATGAGCACCCCAGCTTTTTACAGCTACCACCTGAGGGGCTAGCTGCATGCTAAATCTCCTAGCTCTAGGAGCAGGGGAAACTGAGAATATGTAAGTTTCCCTAAGTGAGAAAGTGAAAAGATAGAGGGTATGCAACCATTTCCAAAGGCTGTATCCTTGGGAATAGAATAGAGAAGAGGCTAAAGAGCAAAGCTCCTTGTTTTACCCCAGTAGGGAGTTAAAGCACAGTCTTCCTGTGGCTACTTAATGGCCTGGCTTCTAACTAACTTGTATCAGGTAGTTAAAGGGACAGACAAACAGAAGCCCTCCAGCAGCCTGAGCAGGAGCTTAGCACTTCCTGAGTGTTCTTTCCCAGGTTGCCCCAGCGATGTAGATCCAGGTCTGCCCATTTTTCCTGGAAGGAAGGGTGCTGTCTGAGCACAGGTGCAGGCATATGCCACAGTTCCTCTCCCAAGCTGGGTGCAGAGAGAATGGAAATAAATCACTCACTCTCGGCTTCATGATGGGGATACAAGGAAGTGGAACCCCAACCTTTCCAAATGCATCCAATAGGTCTGGCTCTTACCTTACCTGTCTCATTGTACTGAGAGTATATGGTATATCCTAATCTTCTGGGGCCCACGTAAAACAAACACAGCAGTTTGGACAAACAATGAAGAGACCCACACTGAGATATAACACAATTAAACTGTCAAAAGGTAAAGAGGGAACTTTGAAGGCAGCAAGGGAAAAGCAACTTGTTACATACAAGACAGTCAATAAGACCATCAGTGGCTTTTTCAACAGAAACCTTGCAGGCCAGAAGGAAGTGGGATGATAAAAGAAAAAAATTCAGAAAGAAAAAAAGAAAATGGAATCAGAATAGACCAATAATGAGCCAAGAGATTGAAATAGTAATAAAAAGTCTTCCATCACAGAAAAGCCCAACACAAGATAGCTTCACTGGTGAATTCCATGAAACGTTCAAAGAATTAATACCAACCCTTCTAAACTTCCAAAAAACTGAAGAGGAAATAATGCTTCCAAACTCATCTTATGAGGCCAGAATCACTCTGATACCAAAGCCAAACAAAGCTACTATAAGAAAAGAAAACTGGATGGGCACGGTGGCTCATGTCTGTAATCCAAGCACTTCAGGAGGCCAGGGCAGGTGCATTACCAGAGGTCAGGAGTTCCAGACCACCCTAGCCAAGATGGCAAAAGCCAGTCTCTACTAAAAAATACAAAAATTAGCTGGATGTGGTGGCAGGTGCCTATAAATCCCAGCTACTTGGGAGGCTGAGGCAGGATAATCGCTTGAACTCAGGAGGCAGAGGTGACAGTGAGCCGAGATCGTGCCACTGCACTCCAGCCTGGGCGACAGAGCAAGGCTCCATCTCAAAAAAAGAAAAACTACAAACCAATATCCCTGATAAACATGGATGCAAAGTCCTCAGCAAAATATGAGTAAACTGGCCCTGTAGTCCCAGCACTTTGGGATGCCAAGGCAGGAGAATTGCTTGAGGCTGGGAGTTCAAGACCAGCCTCGGTGACATAGCAAGACTCCATCTGTACAAAAAAAAATTTTTTTTTAAGTAGCCAGGCATAGTGTCATGTGCCTGTAGTCATAGCTACTTGTAAGGGTGAGGCAGGAGAATCAGTTGGGCTCAGGAATTTGAAGCTGCAGTGAGCTATAAATGCACCACTGCACTCGAGCCTTGGTGACACAGTGAGACCCTGTCTCAAGAATAAAAGAAAATACTAGCAAAGTGAATATACTCATATATTAAACATTATTCACCATCAAGTGGGATTTACTTCTGGGATGCAATGATGGCTCAACAACATGCACAAATCCATAAATATAATTCACCATATTAACAGAACAAAGGAAAACAATAATTTGATTAATCTCAATAGATGTACTAAAACCATTTGACAGAATTCAACATCCTGTCATGATAAAAACTCTCATCAAATTACTTACAGAAAGAATGTTCCTCAACAAAATAAAAGCCATGTATGACAAGCCAAAAGCTAACATCTGAATGGTGAAAAGTTCAAAGCTTTTTCTCTAAGAAACAAGACCAAGATGTCTACTCTCACCACGTGTATTCAACATAATCCTGGAAGTTCTAGCCAGAGTAATGAGTCAAAATAAACAAAAGATGTTCAAATTGAAAAGGAAGAGCGAATTGTGTCTCTGGTAACATGATGTGATAAAAAAAATACTAAAGACTCCACCAAAAAAACCGTTATAACTAATAAATTTTGTGAAGTTGTAGGATATATATCAATATACAAAAATCACCATTTCCATACACTAACAATGAACTATCTGAAAAAGATTAAGAGAACAATTCCACTTACAATAGCATTTAAAAAGTATAATACTTAGGAGTAAATTTAACCAATGTGGTGAAAGATCTGTTTACTGAAAACTATAAAATATTAGTGAAAAAAATGAAAGTAGCCCAAATAAATAGAAATGTATCCCATGTTCATGGATTGGAAGAATGTGGTTAAAATGTTCATACTGTCCAAAGTGTGACATTTTTTAATGTGCTATCCACTAACAGATTTGACGCAATCCCTATCAAAATTCCAGTGTCATTTTTCACAGAAATAGAAAAACAAATCCTAAAATGTATATGGAAGCACAGAAAATCCTAAATAGCTGAAGCAATCATGAGCAAAAAGAACAAAGCTGGAGGCATCACACTACATCATTTCAAAATATATTACAAAGCTATGGTATTCAAAACAACATGGTACTGGCATAAAAACAGACACATTGACCAATGGAATAGGATACAGACTCTAGAAAAAAACCCAAGTTATCTATGGTCAATTGATTTTTGACAAAAGTGTCAAGAACACACAATAGAGAAAGGACAATCTTTTTAATAAATGGTGTTGGGGAAACTATAGAGGAATGAATTTGAAGTTGTATTTCATTCCTTATGCAAAAATCAATTCAAAATGGATTAAACATAAGACCAGAAGCTGTAGAACTACAAGAAGAAAACAAAGGAGAAAAAGCTTCATGGCATTGGTCTGGGCAGTAATTTCTTGGATATAACTCCAACAGGACAGGCAACAAAAGCAAAAATCTGCAAATGGGATTACGTGAAACAAAATCTTCTGCATAGCAAAAGAAGCAGTGGAATGAAGAGAACGCACAGATGGGGAGAAAATGTTAGCAAATTATGCATCAGATAAAGTGCTAACAGACAAAATATATAAGTAACTCAAACTACTCAATAATAAGAAAATAAATAACACTATTTTAAAAATGGGCAATGGACCCGAGTAGACATTTCACAAAAGAATACATATAAAAGGCCAGATATATGAAAAAATGCTCGACAACACTAATAATCATGGATGTACAAATTAAAACCATGAGATACGACCTCACAACCATTAGATTGCCTATGATTTTTAAACAATGAAAAAGTAAGTGATGGTGAGGATGTGGAGAAAAGGGAACTCTTGTACAGTATCTGCTGAGAATGTACATCAGTACAGCCATTTTAGAAAACAATGTGAAGGTTCCTCAAAACACTAAAAATAGATTATCCAGCACTCCTACTTGTGAGATTGAAAATAAAATGTGGAAAAACAGGATGTCCAACAAATTTGAAACTGTGTATTAAATGACTGCACTCCCATGTTCATTGCAGCATTATTCACAATAGCCAAGATATGAAAAAATTGAAGTGCCCATCATGAATGAATGGATTCGAAAAATGTTATGTGTATGTGTGTGTGTGTGTGTGCATATATATATATACATATGTGTGTGTGTATGCACACACACACACCGTGGAATACCATTTAGCCTTTAAAAAGTAGGAAATTCTATCATTTGCAACAACAGAGATGAATCTAGAGGACATTATGCTAAGTGAAATTAGCCAGGCAGAGAAAGACAAATACTGCATGATTTCACTTACATGTGAAATACAGAAGAGTCAAACCCATCGAAGCAGAGAATGGAATGATGGCTACCAGAGGCTGAGGAGAGGAGAGGCAAAGGAGAGATGATAGTCAAAGGGGACAGTTTTAGTTAGGAAAAGTAAGTTCTGGTTACCTATTGCACAGCAACTACAGTCAATAACAATGTATTGTGTATTTTTAAAATTTGCTAAAAGAGTAGATTTTAAATATTCTCATTACAAAGAAATAAGTATGTGAGATGATGGATGTATTAGGCCAGTTTGATCATGCCACAATACATACATGTACAGAAACATGACATTGTACCTAATATATATATATATATACACACAATTATTTTTCAATTAAAAATGCATTTTTTTAAAAGAAGAAAAAAGGATAATGTGTTAATCCACTAAAGAATGAATTTCTAACATATTAGGTACAGTGCACACTGCTTGGGTGATGGGTACACTAAAATCTCAGAAATCACCACTGAAGATATCCATGTAACCAGTACGACCCGTACCTCCACAACTACTGAAATTTTAAAAAGAAGATCTGTTACCTATATAGAAAGAAACTGTAAATTAAGAGACTAATAAAAATCTTCTTCACTTTTGTAACTCACCCACATATTGGTACAACCAATACATTGCTAAGTCAAGATAGAAATGATAAGGTTCCTTTGCTTTTAGGTCTTAGCCTAGATATCTTTAAAATATAAGCATTATCATATTAAAAGTACATTAATTATTGTGGACACTTTTTTCATTCCTTTTTTTTTTTTTCTATTCAGTCACCATTTAACCTTTCTTGAACTACCATCCTGACCTTCTTTGGAAAACAGCCCTCTGAGACTCTCAGGACAGGGGGGAGTTGGGGGACGTTATTCCTTGTTTTAGAGATAAGTAAATTGAAAACTGCGCAATCTGAGCACTGCAACACCTCTCCACTCCCTTACCTCCAACCATGCCCCTGCCTCCTACACACACACTGATTATTTAAAGAGATGGACAATAAGGTTATTAATGGGCCTCACGTGGAGCTCTGCAATCTAGAACGCCTGGTAGTACAGAATAGATGCCTAACATATCACGAAGCATTCTAGCTACCATAATGAGCTAACGTGCCAGGAAATGAAAAGAGCCAAATTCAGTCCTGATCATCTAACTTATCCTCCTGGATAGAGACATTTCAGAAGTTCTATGCTGCATGGTCCAATTGCTTGTTTGAAAAAAAAGAAAAAAAGAATTTCCAACACTATTAGCTAAAATATTTAAATGTATTATATGAAAGGCAATTTAACTTAAATAGGAATTGAGTGTTAATTCTTTATACATTCTTGAGATGTTTTAAAAATTATGTATTGTTTGTATAGTTACTCTGCCCAAAGCTAATAAATTTTGTATACAATAGAATTTTAAACCTTTTAAATGTAAAAGATTTTTAAATCTATACTATACTCCAGTTTAAGATGGCAGACTAAGCACAAATGTTTCTCACACCTCTAAAGAGACCACTGCAACTTCATTACATACAAGCTTGTCCCTGATAAAAGTTGAAAACAAATTGACAACTTAAACCATCTGACACTATCTCAATGAAGTAGTAAGTTATTAAATATTATCCTGAAAATTTATGTGAATTGAAAACATTCATCTAAAGGTACAGTCTGTCTCTATATAGACTACTTTTAAGGGGAAAATATTTTAATGTGTCTTTAAAATGAAAGATAAAATAATGTGGAAGCTATAAAAGAGAGAAAGTACTCAAAGGACAGTAAGAAAATTGAGAATTCTTGTTTTTCAGAAGGATTTTCAATAGCAATCATTTCTTCTCTTTTAATCTAGAACTGATCAAGGATGCAGAATAGAGAAAAAGATTGCCTGGTGCATTTCTAGTTCCCTTAGTCTTCATACAAACACGCATGCAGGTAGGCACACTTGAAATATACAGAAAACTCATTAAAGATAGACTAGGGTGGGCCAGGCATGGTGTCTCACGCCTGTAATCCCAGCACTTTGGGTGGCCGAGGCGGTGGATCACGAGGTCAGGAGTTCAAGATCAGTATGGCCAAGGTGGTGAAACCCTGTCTCTGCTAAAAATTAAAAAAAAATAGCTGGGTGTGGTGGTGGGCGCCTGTAATCTTAGCTACTTGGGAGGCTGAGGCAGGAAAATGGCGTGAACCCAGGAGGCAGAGGTTGCAGTGAGCCGAGATCGTGCCACTGCACTCCAGCCTGGGCAACAGAGGGAGACTCCATCAAAAAAAAAAAAAAAAAAAAAAAAGACTAGAGTGGCATAAGATGAGATTTGAAGGTAGTAGGGAAGTCATGAACTTAATGACTTTGGGTCTGTGGTTTGCTATATTCAATGCTTTTTATGTCTTTTTAAATTTTACCCACCCTACCACACTGCTTCTGTGAGTTAATTTATAATTTTCCTCTGGGTAAAATCAGGCTGCCAATTACATCATTTTCAGAAAAATATTATTTCGTTGTGTTGTTTTGTATAGAGTGTGTTAAATTCTTAGATTTCTTTCAACTTAGTTTCAAAAATAATTCCTACATGTAAACAAGCTATTTTTACAATCAGCATCATGCACACTAATTAAAGAATGAAAATATTAATATGCTGATTAATGTTAGGTTAGAATCAATCCTTGACAATAAGACTAGGCATGGAATATAAAATGCAATGAAAATCCAAAGTACATGATGATTTGGTCTGCATGAAATCCCGTCAACAGATTATATATTTATTCTTGATTATTGTATTTCCTGGAGTGTATGTGCATCAGTCTATTAAAAAATTTGTCAGGAAAATATATTATTTGAGGGATTTTATGATGTCAATGAAAACCTTAGAATAATAAGACCAGTACCAGTGACTTCTGTATATTTTCTCACAACAACCGATCACTTCTTATTTCTATGATATATGGTTCCAAAAGATGAGAATTTGATGCTTTCACCACATAGGAGCTATTTCCTAGATCAAATCTTAATATGCAACAAAAATCAATCTGACCACAGGGTATCTACTGTTAGACAACTTATTCCTCTTTATTCTAGATTGAAAGTGTCCGTGACAATATAACCTGCTTCCCAGAGGTGATATTAAGACCGTTCACGTAATTTCTTCCCATTCTTCAAAGAATTAACATGTGCCAGGTTGAACTTTAATCACAAGCCCAGTATTTATTAAGAAATGTCATCATTTACTACTTGGAGAGATGAATGAGGTTATGTAGTCATAACAGGTAAATTATTATTCCTCAAATATTCCTATTCTCTCTTATTTATAAAGGATAATTCTGAAGAAGTACATAACTTTCAGGGGAACATTTTCAAACTCCCTGAATGGTCTGACCTGCCCCCTGTCCCTCTGTAGTCCTTCCTTTCATGGGGATGATGAGGGCTTTAACAGACTATGGCTGTGAGGACTTTTGAAAACCAGACAAGAATATATGGGAGAAAATTCTTACTTGAAAAACATGTTTAGACCTTGACCACTAATTAAACTAAATACTGGTTGTTTTACATTAGAATACAAGCATTCTTCCATTCTTGTGGGGGAGGTAAGTACTTATTTAAGAGTTAAATTTTATCTGTAATCCCAGCACTTGAAGAGGCCAAGGCAGGAGGATCACTTAAGGTCAGGAGTTTCAGACCAGCCTGGCCAACATGGGGAAACCCCCTCTCTACTAAAAATAAACAAATTAGCCGGGCTTGGTGGCAGGCACCTGTGATCGCAGCTACTTGGGAGGCTGAGGCAGGAGAATCTCCTGAACCCAGGAGGCGGAGGTTGCAGTGAGCCGAGATTGTGCCACTGCACTCCAGCCTGGGTGACAGAGTGAGACTCTATCTCAAAAAAAAAAAAAAAAAAGGAAGTTAAATTTCAAAGCTGTTTACAACAAAACTGAAGAAAATCAGATCCTCATCCAGACTGCCTACCCCGGGGCTGATGGAAACATAAAGGAAGAGTACTATCAGGTGAAAGGTTAATTTCTCTCTGCAGCCTTTTATTTCATCAGTCTCTTAGTTCAAACAGAATGTGCCAAGAATGCTGTAGGTTCTCAGGAAACAGGGCTTAATGGCACTGAGAGATGCTAACATCCTCATCATTTCACACTAAGTAGGTAAGTTGCAAAGCCACTCTCTTAGTAATGAGGGCGAGGGGCTTGAAAGAAGTTATTGCTGGTGTTTCTGCAATTCTCAGACATTTGGGGTACAAGATGAGTCTCATTGGCAGGTGTTAGATTATTAGGAAAATTAAGCAGATGGCATTGGCAAGCTACGCCTCCCCTTTCCTCAGCTGCCAGCAATTCTTACCCTCAGGCTTAGCTTCACATATGCTTGTTTAAAAGCTCTTGCCATTTCAAGGAAACAGAATCCGTGTCGTCATTCAAGCATGCCCATGACTATGAACAAATAGCATTATCCACATTTTCCCAGAGTGTTAGGTAAAAACCTTTCTGTTTTCTGTATGTCACCCATAACCTGCCACAGTGCATTCCACCGAGGCGGCTCATGTCACTGACTCAGAGGAACAAAGTGAGTGTATCTCAGCAGTTGCTTGCAATGTTCAGTGTACCGTAATATGGATCTGATATCCTATGTGATCACATGATCAAGAGCAGCCAAGCCTCCAGTCTTTACAGAATGAAATCATAGAAAATAGCATTTTCAACAATGGTGTTTCATATCATCTCAACCCAGCCACTTTGGAACATTATTTTTGTTTTTTTAATTGTAGGTTCATTTATCAGCCAGTCTTAAGAGACAGCTCACAAGATTGACAGAGGATGTCATACAGATGCCTAATTAAGGCCATTAGCATAATGAAGCCATGAAATCTTATGAATTAAAAGCATTCTGAACATTCAAATCATTCTAACAAAAAATAAACAAAATCATACAACCTGTGACTGTGTCAATTATATATTTGTGTATGCAGATATATATATATATAGTCAAACTACAATTCTAAATCTATTGCAATGAACAAAACTTAAAAGATGTATGAAACATTTGCCAGGAGCCAAGAACTATGAAATGCATTGGGGCTGCAATAAGAAACAGGACAGATATAGACCCTGCTCTCAATGACCTTAAAAGTAACAAGGAAAAAGAAAAGCAGATGACAATGAAAAACGGTACGGAAAGAAGACACCCAACTGATGCAGGGCAGACACGCCCCTAAATTGGGGTTTAGGCTGTCAGGGTTCTTGACTCTGCCCAGGAAAGAATTAAAAGTGAGCTGGTGGTGGTAGACAGCAATGTTTATTGAACCAGAGCTGCTCCTTGCAGACCAGGGCTAACTCCTAGGCAGTGAACCCAGAGCCAGAAGCATGTGGGCTGTTGGCAGCCGTATTTATACTCACTTTTAATTATTTGCAAGTTAAGGGACAGGTTATTCCGAAATCTCTAGAAAAGGGGTAGTAACGTCCTGGTTGTTGCCATGAATAAGGAGTGGTAACTAACAGGTCATTGTTAAGGCCTTTTTTTTTTTTTTTTTTTTTTTTTGAGATGGAGTCTTGCTCTGTCACCAGGCTGGAGTGCAGTGGCGTGATTTTGGCTCGCTGCAACCTCCGCCTCCCAGGTTCAAGCGATTCTCCTGCCTCAGCCTCCCAAGTAGCTGGGACTACAGGCACATGCCACCACTCTCAGCTAATTTTTTACTTTTAGTAGAGATAGGGTTTCACCATGTTGGCCGGGATGGTCTCCATGTCTTAACCTCATGATCCACTTGCCTTGGCCTCCCAAAGTGCTGGGATTACAGGCATGAGCCACCATGCCCGGCCTCACCATGGCATTTGTAAACTGTCATGGTGCCGATGGGAGTGTCTTGTACTAATGGGCATTGAGGGTAACTAGAGGTTGCCGTCAGTGCCACCTATTGTTTCTGGCCAGTTTCTTCACTTCATCCTGTTTGACCCAGGAAGTAAGCCCTGCCAGTCTCCTACCTCACAACCTCTACCTAGAAGGGTAGAGGTACCGGTGCAATGTTTAGTGATAGTTGAAGGATGGTAGCAGCTTGCCAGGAAAGCACACAAATGATAGAACTGGTAAAAACTCAAACTTGAGAATCAAGGTGTATTTGAGGATATGAAATTAATTCAATATGGCTGAGATGTCACAAGTGAGGAGAGGAGGGGGCCATAGAGGTGACTGGAAACAACTGTGGGGTTCGTATCCTGAAGGAGCCTGAAGACTTCTCAAGGAGTAGATACTGACCCCATCAACAAGTCACTGAAGTTTTTAAGCAGGAGAGAGGCATGGTTCAATTTGCATTTCAAAAATGGCACTTACACTACCGTATGGGGCAAGTATAGAAGAGATTGCAGTACTCAAGGCCAAAAAGTGAATGAACTAAACCCAGGGTAATGGAAATGGGGATGGAGAGAATAGAGATTTTATCTTAGAAAAAAATTCACAATATTCCCCCACCCAAATAGTTTATGGCTGAATTACCTTCGCCAATTTGTCTGCCCTATTGTTTACCTATTTGTTAATATAGTTGCTGATGTAATGATGAAAAAGAACCAAAGGCAAAGATAATAGGCAAACTGGGCAACCAGCCTCTTAGCGCCCCCCCCAACCCACGCACAAACACACACACACACAGGCATCTTGAAATACGATTATCCATAGTGGAATATGATTATCCATAGTGGTAAAAAGTAGTAATCCTATCATGCACAAGATTAGTAGAGGCCCTATGAGTTGTTTTCACAGTATGTTAATTTATATGCATAGCTCTGCTCATCTGAATGTGTGGTTTACATTGCATTGTAAACTGGATTAGAAATCATCTAATCCAGTTTCTGCTTGGATGACAAGACTGGGGAGACCACTGTTTCGAGAGATACTGCTCCATCATTGGCCAGCTCTGTTAGAACTTCTCTTTTATATTAGGCCTGATTTTCTCCCGGTAAGTTTCACATCATTGCCAATGCTCAAATACAAAACCATTTCCTTTCTTCTTGTCTCACACATAAGAAAAAATAATTGAAGGTGAGAAATTAAGAAACTTCATTTAAGCTCTGCCTTTTACGTTGTAAAAAAATTACTGCTTTGACCTACTGGTAAGGTCATAGGTCTTCTGTTGATTATGTTTTTGTATCTTCATAAAATAAGTACACGCTCTTTCACCACTCCAGCTCATCAACTGGGCTTCAAACAAGTGGTAATCTCTCAGGTCATCCAAGAGGCCAACCTGCATCATCTCTCTTCCAGTGTGAAAACTCAACCGGTGACAAAGAATTACTGAACTGTTTCTTAGTATTTAAAGGAGCGTTCAAGACATTCCTTTTTCTTTCTAACATAAAAAAAAGCCACAGACATGTAGGAGAGTGTTGTGGTTCATGGGTTGGATGTCTGTTTGCCAGCTTGAATTTGTATTTGGAAAACAAATGAATCTCTGATTAGCCAACCTCTAACACACACACACACACACACACACACCCTCTACCCACCTTTAATGGAAGTAATAATTTATTTAATATTATTGAACATCAAATATATACCAAGCAATGTTTTAAAACTTAACAGTGAATGAGGTAGAAATAGGTTGGCTCTCATATTTCCATGTTAGAAACAGGTAACATCAAAGACAACTAAGTCAACAAGAAACATGCATAGTGGTGTTTGTAAGGCAAAGAATTAAATCAGGCTGATGTTACTGAGTGGCCACTTTCGAGTGGCAAAAAGATTTATCTGAAGAGATCATTTTTGAGATACAAACAGTGACTAGCTTACTTCTCACCTATACTGACAGTTGAATTTAGCCTAGAGTAAAAACACACAGCCATAATGAGAAGTCTCATATGAAATTCATGATCGGGGACCTCTAGAGGACACTTGACACTGCTGACAATCATACTGCATTTTTCTAGTCCCTTGTATACCTACTATTTCTTTTTTTCTTTTCGTTTTTTTGTTTGTTTCTTTTTGAGACAGAGCCCTGCTCTGTCACCCAGGCTGGAGTGCAGTGGTGCGATCTCAACCCACTGCAACCTCTGCCTCCTGGGTTCAAGTGATTATGGTGCCTCAGCTCCTCGAGTAGCTGGGATTACAGGTGTGCATCACCACCACAACCAGGTAATTTTTGTAGTTTTAGTAGAAACAGGGTTTTGCCACGTTGCCCAAGCTGGTCTCAAACTCCTAGTCTCAAGTTACCCACCTGCCTCGGCCTCCCAAAGTGATGGGATTACAGGCGTGAGTCACCATGCCCGACCACCTACTATTTCTGCAAAGCCCCAATATCTCCTTTTCTCACCCTCTGTAAGGCGCCTACCTCCTGTTTCTCTGGGGGAAAACAAAAATAGAACCAATGAGAAGAGATGTTTCTCTTCTCCCAACAACCAATTCTACCCATTTTTGCTGCCTTCTCCTGCTGATCTGGAGGAAGAACTTCCTGTGCTTCTATGTAAGGTCCCTCTTTCCACTTTTGCACTAGATTGTTTGCTCTGTGACTTACTCTGACATATGCTCTCCTGTCTCTCTCATAGTTCTTTCTCTCCTCAGTCAATCCAATCATCCATCATTTCAGCCCACCTAACTATGGAAACTCTGCTGCTTCTCACACAGCAGCAGCCAAGTCCCTACAATAACTACAAGACTCGACATGATTCAGCCTCAGTATTTGCATGACCTTAGCTCCTCCTCCTTCTCCACTCCTTTTCCCCTGTACTCCAGCCTTGCACACAGCATAGCACACTTCCACCTCAGGGCCTTTGCACTTCTTATTTCTTCTGCTCTGACCTATCTTCCCCCAGTTATCTACACAGCTCACCACTGACCTCTCTTCTTTGTTCCCATGTTGCTTGTGTGATGTTCCCTACACCCTGTGTAAAATCCCCACTGTTATTCTGCCATTCACTCTCTCTCTTGCCAGCTTATTTTTCTGTACAGCATTTGCCATTATTTGAAACAGCACTTTGTTTATTTATTTACATAATGTATAGTCTGTGCTCCTACACCCTACTAGAATATAAGTTCCATGAGGGCAGGATTTTTTATTAATGCATAGCTTCTTTTGGGGTTTTATTATTGTTTTATCCCCAAAATGTGGAACAACACCTGGCACATATAGGAGCACATATAGGGTCTCACTAACTGCTGAATGAACTGAATGCATGCAAGCATAACTAGTCTTGTTAGAATCATGGGAAGGAACATTTCAGGCAGATGTCATAGGTCATAAAGTATCTCCATAATGGGGAAAGGCTTAGTGTGTTTGAGGAAACCAAAGGTCAGTGTGGCTAGAGCAAAGTGGGAAAAGAGAAGAGCGCTCCAAGATTCTGCCTCCTAAAGAAGAAAGAGTCAGATGACAAGTACCTTTCCTTGCCCCAAGTGTTGCCTGCCATATCCTGATGCTTTTCTCCCTCTGATGGATGAATGAACTGTACATTTCAATTGCAGCACTTCTAAAACACAATACATTCTACTATGTAATGCAGTAGAGAATTAAACTTAGGGAATCTGCTCAGGACCTCAGCATCATTTGGGCCTTTGAGAAACACTCTCTTCTTGGTCGTTTTTTGACTCTGACTCATCCCGTTTTTTTGAGGATCCAGCTTTTTTTGAGGATAAGTCTTTCCACAATAACACAGCCACTCTTATTTTCTCTAGTAAACTTCACCCTAGAGGGGTGACTGTTGGGCCTTCCATGTTTCTAACTGGAAAATCAGAGTGCATTTTTACATACAAAATTGATGATTCCTCCCAAATAGAGGGATAAGTCTAACATAATTTGAATGCACTGGAACTTATTGTCAAGTACTATAAATGGTTTGAGATTCTTTCCTACTTGCAATCCGGCAACTTAGCTGGCCACCATTTCAGGAAGGTAGGTAAAAGCCATTAGATTCCTTGTTAGAGATAAAGGATGGTTTATTACTTAAAGCAATAGCATAGCCAGAATAACAGGATTTTTTTTCTGGTTTCATAAATGCCAGTTCTTAGGCAGCAACACAAAGAGGGCCCAATGACACCTGCATGTGAGTGTGCTGCATTATAGGAGAGGAAGCCTAATAATGCTTTGGGAACCCAAATTTTTTATAATTGATAGTAAGCACATTTGCCCTTTGATCCACAGGGGGGAAAATACCTTTATTATACGAGACAGCAAATACGTCTCTCCTTTGCTCTAGAGAGACGAACTATCTTCCATGGCTATTTTCTGGACAAACATCCTCTAAAAGACAATCCAAAACAAAGAAAGTCACAAGATATGGATAAATGTGAGAATCCTGTGATGGGTTATCTCCCAACATCTGCCCCTTGCTTCTCTACCATCCTGGATTCTGATGAATTTTCCATGAGTATGCCACTCTAATAACTACTGTAATTAATCTGACGGAAAGAGGTTGGAACACATTCTTTCAATTTGTCTTGTGTAGTATTTAATTGAGGCTATTACCAACAAGATTCCAAGCAGCAGTAGTGACCTCAATCATGGCTCCTGGGATCCCAGGCCTAACCAGCTAAACAAATCCCATAAACCATCAGTTTCTGTATCGACCTTTTCACTTCACCCAAGGCATTAATCCAAGTATAGCAGGATGCATTAGCATTTGCAAAGACCCTGCCTTGGCTTGCAAGCAGAAAATGTAGGACAATTGTATAATCCATAACAACCCTGGCCAGTGAGCTGAAACTGATTTTATTGTCTTCCAGGGCAAAGTTGGCACCACTGATCACTTCAGCTAAAATCAGGGACAAATTTTGTATCACCATTTCTAATTGGAGGACTTCCAATGCACAGATAACTGCCCACACGTTGCACATTAAAAAATGTGTCACTTACCCCTCCAGGAGACTCTTTGGATAAACTAATGAGAGCCTCATTTTGGAGGGATCTTTGAGGTCATCTGTGAACTTTCTTATGACCACCAGAAGGTATGAGTCACCGTGTTTTCAAGAAGAGAGTAAAAAATGCGTGGCTACACACAAGAAGCACAGTTCTCACGAGGACACAGAGTCCCTGGAAAGAAGGCATTGTTTACATTCGTTGGAGTGCCCCAGGTAGTACCCACATCAGTTTTTGGGCAAAAGTCCCGGGGCCTCCAGTGTGGCTGCCCAAACGGCTGGTAAGCCCTGGCATTTCCAGATCAGTTTGAGTAATGCAGTCAATCCTTATTTTGGAGGGACTGCATGAGGTCAGCCAGTCCAATCTGTCCTTTATATTCATGGAGAGCATTTGTCTACCCCCCAGAATGCCACAGGGTCAGATGATCAAACTCAAACAGCCACAGCGGAACCTAAATTAAATCAAGAGTGGTGAAGGACCACCACCACCTGACTGCTTAGTGTAGGCTTCCAAGAATGTGTTTGTGCCATACCCCAAACAATGTGGCCTTACCCTCAGGTAAGCTGTTTGTTCAGCTTCTGGCAGGAGTCCCAGGTCTGGCTTGCATGGTGGCCTCTGCATCAGAAATACAGGGTCCTTTCCTTTGTATCCAGTCTATGTCGGTGGATATGTTAGCATGCCTGATACAATGATGGATTCAGGCAGCCAAGGTAACAATCTGGGTGGTGCAAGCTGAGTCAGCTGCTTACTTCCAGCTGGTCTTACCAGAAAACAGACTCATGTGGTGTATCTAGGTGAGTGGTCCACGTGTTTTGATTAGCAGCTGTGAATTACTTTCACAGTTCTTGATCCCAAAGAGGACATATGGAATCTGTCAGTCTGTGGTTTTCCAAGTGGCATGCCAAACACCTAGGCCACTGGGAACAGCCTAAGAGTCAATAAAAATGTAACAAAGTTCACCAAGGACTATACTGGCCAGATCAGTGAGAATGGCCTTGAGCTGTGCCCACATACTTGAGAGAACCACATTCATTTTCTGCATAGCTGCCACTGAGATTCAACAGCCCCAGCAGCCTTGCTGATATTGTTGTAATTCAACTCAGCCAAACCATCAGTGAACCAGCCATAGGCATTTAGGGGACCACTGTGGACTGAAGGCTCCACTGAGGTAGCAGCTTAGCCTCAGGTGACAGAAAGGGAGACAAAGTTTCTACCAAAAAGATAGTTACCATGTTGTATGTAAAGTTGCTACCAGGATGCTAAGATACTGCTCAGGCCAGCCTGGATGCATTCATAAATATGCTGCTTCCTTTTGCCAGCCAAGGCTCGGTGGGCCCTTCCCAACTTGTCATTGATTCCAAACAGACCCGCCCGCTGCCCAATGTGGATATCAGACCAGCAAGTCACAAGGCCTCAGTAGGTCATGTTTTTTATGTCAGAAGCTGCTTTATAAAGGGCGTTATAATTTGCTACTTGGAGCCTCTGGTAGAGAAGCTGTCTGCATTCACCGTTCCCATTGGGGTCAGGACTTACCCTCTCCCTAACTGCATCGTCTGTCTCAAGAAGAGGACAAGTCCAGACCCTAATGGGCACCTCCGAATGGAGGCAGCTTCTCTTTATCAGAGGCACAAAGTAGCAAATCACTGGTCACTCAAGATGGAGTTAAGCCTGTGAGTTCCCAAAATGGAAAGCGTATTTCAGTTCGCTGAACAGCTTTCAGTGGAGACTGTTGGTTTGGGCCCTATGCAAATTATGATTTTTGGATAAGCCAATATAAAGGACAAGTGGAATGCCCAAGAGAGGTACATTCTGTCTCCAATTCCTAAAGAGTCCAGCAATGTGGCATCTTTTTCTTTTTTTCTTTTTTTTGGCTTTGAGGTCTGATGAGACAGCAGTCTTCCTTGATGCCAGAGGGACTTAGCACTGTGAATCCACCCACATGGTTCCATAAAAAACTTTACTTGGCAAGCAGTTCTTTTGCATTTTTTCAGGATTTATCAGTTACTTTTGCTAGAGGAAGTGTGATAATGCCACAGTCAGGGCCACTGAGGATGAACATTCTGACTTGGCAACATGACACAGATAGGAAAAACATTGGAAATTAAAGAACAGAAGCACTCGTGCTAAATCCTGACCTGCTCCTTGTGGCAAATGGCAGGGAAGTTTAGGCAACAGTCGGGGAGTACAGCAACCATACATTGGAGACCTTACCACATGAATGAGAACTATTCTAGATGCCTTGGTGCTGGGCCTATGTCAAAATGGGTTTCAGCAGTGTCTAAGACAACACAGCAAGTGCTATCAATCTGTGTAATGAATTCAATCACCTTTGCAACATCCGCAACGGCTGACGTGTTGGGAGCAATAACTGAATTCAAGTTGATGACTCCTGTGAAAATCCAGTCCTGTTAGGTTTTTTTTTCCACCGACTATATAAGGCTGTTGTATTGGGCTAATGCATCTCTTACTATTCTTTCTACCTTTAAGTCCTTCAACAGGCTATGATCTTCCTTTCCCTAAGATGCTATACTATGTCCGATAGAACACCTAGGAGAGGAAAGAAACATAAGGTACGGAGCTATTTCTATGTCCCACTAGGGGTTCTCTACATGTGGCTCTTCTCAGTCAAAAACATTGCCTCTGGCAATATGGGACAAAGAAGTACAATCATATAACACATCAGTGTCTACCGTACATTCATATGTGGAAGCATCAACAACAGAACATTGAATAGACCCTTAAGGTCATGTTAACCTTCTTTTCGCACAGTGAACACTTCCCCAACCTCATGAGCTGAATCTAGACCCATTTTCTTTCACGGGTCTGCATAGGCTAGTTCCCTAAGTGCCCATATCCAAAAAGCCATAAAAGTTTGAATCCTTCCCCTTTTCAAAATTCCCAAACTTATTCCAGTAGGTGGATATAACCTTTGATTCCACCTTAGAAACAGACTCAACCCCACCTCTAATCTTCTGTCTCCATAAAGTCGCTGAGATCGGGGTAGAGAAAGAGTGAAGGATAGTACAGAGAAAGAGGGAAGCTCTGTGTAAGCGACTTCACATTTACCTTCAGTTTTGAGCAGCGTGGCGGCAGCTTTGGTTCAACCAAAGGAACTGCAAATTTGTTCATCCCAGTCAGTACTCTCCTGGGTGTGTGGGGGGGGTCCTCTTATTTACACCATAAGAACCCTATAACTCATCAGCAGTCACACTGCTTTCCAGCCGGGACCACTAGGTTTGCATCCTCGGGCCAACTAAGGCTTGACTGGCTCTTACAGGGACAACATTTTAAAGGAGTTCACTTTAATGTGGGACACCTGCAACTCTATTTCCATGCTAGTATCACTTAAGCTCTTGCCTTATTTCCATATAAAGACTAGGGAAATTTTCCATGGTGATGCTGCTGCCCGCAGGAATTTATCTAAATTTCATTGGGTCAATATCTCATTCTCCAGTGGGTCTCCTATATCAACATTGTAAATCCAATCAGGAGCAGTAAGACCAGAATACTAGTCAATGTCTCTTCTATGGTTTCTCCAAGAGTTTAACTATATCAAGAAATCTCCTTGACAAGGCTAATGCTCCCTTATAGCAGCCAGGATGCACTGCAAAACAAACAACAACAAAACCCAAAACAAAAACCAACCACTCTAAGTCCGTGTAGGGTTGTCTTAAGTGGATCCACAATTAGCCTGATGGACTGCAGGAGGCATTGAGCTGTAAGATGGCCCAGCTGCTACCATTCCTCCTTAGCACATGTCTCAAGGGAACCAGCCAGCGCTCTAACAATTATCCTAGTTCTGCCCAGAATAATGGTCCCAAAGTTTCCTCCTTTCACACTCAGTATAGACATTCAGCTATAAAACTGTTGTCAGAAAGGGGTGGACATTTTTGCTGGCCTAGGATGAATCTTAGTACAAGTTGCTATAATTCAGTGCACCGGATTGACCACCAGTTTCTCAAGGAAGTTCCTCTGCCTGGAGGAGTTGACAACAATGACATACTATTTGTTAGATGTTTTGAACCTGCTTCCTGGTATTGTCAGCTGTGACCCCCTTCCCAGTTTTTCCTCGTCAGTGGGCAGTGGTGAAGTACTATTTATTGTCCAGCTAACCATACAATTTGGTCAACATATTTACTACCTATTCCCATGGACTTTTCTCAAATCTTGTCCATCAGCCCATAAAGTCCTCATTCTTTCTCTTCTAGAAAGGCATGACTTTTTCAGCATCCCACACTTAATGCCAGAACTGTCAAGGACTATGAAGGGTCTGAAATCTTACTCTAGTTGCAAGCTAACAAGTGTGCCTGCCCCAGTTTCATGGATGTCGATAGACCTCATAAGACCCCAGGTCATAGATGAAAGACAATTCATCAAACAACAGCAGCAGCCAGAACATGTGCATGTTTGTGCCAGTTTCCTGAGCTCCAAGTCCCACAGGGCAACACAAAGAGGGTCAGATGGCCCCTGCACATTCAGTAGGTTGCACTACAGGAGAGGACCCTGAGAGCTTTGGGAACCCCAATTGTTTATAACGGGCAGCAAGCATGTCCAAGGGGACATAACTCCTCTATCTTCCAAAGTTGTAAGCAAACTTATCCTTTGTTACAGGGGAGACACTACCTCTATATCCATAGCTGCTCCTTGAATGGATAGTCCAGAACACAGGGCAATCAGTGCCACGCTCACAAAACATAGAGAAACTTACATAAAAGATTCATGCCAAATTTGCTCTTTGTAGCTTTCTTCTGATACCACCACTTGACAACATCATAGATGACATTTTCTCTCAGGCTGGGCATGGTAGCTCTTGCCTGTAATCCCAGCACTAAGGCTGGGAGGCTAAGGTGGGCAGATTGCTTGAGTCCAGGAGTTTGAGACCAGCCTGCGCAACATAGTGAAAACCCGTATCTACAAAAAATACACAAATTAGCCGGGCATGGTGGCTCATGCCTATAGTCTCAGCTACTTGGGGGGCTGAGGTGGGAGGATCACTTGAGCCTGGGCTGCTGAGGCTGCAGTGAGCTGAGATCATGCCACTGCACTCCAGCCTGGATTTTGGGAGTGAGACCCTGTCTTTAAAAAAAAAAAAAAGAAAGAAAGAAAAACATTTTCTCCTAGGGATGAGCAGATTTCAGAGCAATACTGATTTTATGACTACTTATCCCTGGTCTGTGCTATCTGCTCACCTGTCAGCCTGCTCTGCAGAATGTAGAAATATAAAAAGTGCCTTCTTAGTATTTTATGCATACTGAGACGTTCATGGCACAGCTATAGTAACACCCTTTTTCAAACACAAGAAATATGCAACATGTTCTTAACTTGCCACAGTTTTCATTGTCTTCTATTGGTCTCCCTCCACACCCTAAGGTTCTATAACATGCTTGTTCTGAAAACTCCAAGCAATATGGCTAGATGCTTTTCTGGTCACTTAATCATCTATACAACAAATATTTATTGAGCTCTTATTACATGCCTGCACTATTTTAGCTGTTACAAGAAAGGGGTCCCGATCCAGATCCCCAGAGAGGGTTCTGGATCTCACCCAAGAAAGAATTCAGGGTGAGTTTGTAAAGTGAAAGCAAGTTTATTAAGAAAGTAAAAGAATAAAAGAATGGCTACTCCATAGACAGAGCACCCACAAGGGTTGCTGGTTGCCCATTTTTAATGGTTATTTCTTGATTATATGCTAAACAAGGGGTGGATTACGCACGCCTCTCCTTTTTAGACCATATACGGTAATTTCCTGACGCTGCCATGGCATTTGTAATGGATACATTTTTACTATTTTCTTAGAGCTTAAATCCTGAGAGCATTTTTGGGAGATTAGTGGTATGGAGTTGAGGGGCTGTAACAGGAACAGTTTAAAGAATGCATCAATGTGTGGGGTGGCTGAGAGCATGTCTGCTGAAGCTGTCATATTTGTGTGATGAATGAGTTTCACAAACTGTTTGGAGAATTCATTGGGCTCCATTGCTATTTTTGTTAAAACTTTTTAATTAGTAGCCTTGAGAAAAAAAAAGAGAGAAATACAAAGTGACATGTCCATTTTTGTATCTTGTGTTTTTTCGTAAATGTGATGGCTCAGTGTCTGTGGATGGCTGGGTAAATTGGAGGCAGTATATGGCAGGCAACTTGATCAAAAACCCAGAGAAGCATAAGGATGAAAGCACCATGAGGGTTGTGAGAGCTGTATGGGGCTGGGTGTGGCAGTCCATGTAGAACGTACCCTTGCTGGGCTCAGAGGGGTTCTAGAGCTGCAAGAGAACCTCCTGATACCATGGGATGAGTTTTCTCTCATTTGGATGCTCTTGTAGCCGGGTATAAATAGGCAATGCTGTTCAAGAAATTGAATCAACAAGGATCCTGAAGGCTATCGTGGGGATTTTGAAATGGGAGAGAGGATTCAGAAATCCTGGTGAAAAGGCATGAATAGCTGCAATTAGATTTGCTTTTAGTCTCTTAGCTTTTCCTATCAGGTCCTTTGGGACCTTCACTTCTGACCAGCTGTTCTTCGAGAAGAATCTTGGCCAATATTTAAATGGGAGAGGGTGTGGAGCTGGGAAGCTGCCGTGCTGTTACACGTGACTCTTGTTCCGTTCATGCGCCTGTGAAGACACACCACGTAAGAGTAGAAAGAGGGATGCCCGAGACTTTGGTTTTGGAAGATGATTCATTAAACATATTTTAATCTGCAATAGAGAGTCGTGCTGTAAGAGTCACTGGGTGAAATCCCACCCACATTATGGGCATGAAGAGCCCTAAATAATTATCAGGAAATTAACATGCCTTCTTTCTTGTCAAAACATGAGCTCTTAATAAATGTTTTGCTTGTGCATGGTGCTTAAGTAAATTACACTGAGATTGAGCTACTCCTCAAAGATTAATTATGAAAATTGTATATAGGAAGAAATATAAATAATTGCAAAATTTCTTTTCTTTTTTTGAGACAGAGTCTTGCACTGTCGCCAGGCTGGAGTGCAGCGGCGTGATCCCAGCTCACTGCAACCTCTGCCTCCCGGGTTCAAGTGATTCTCCTGCCTCAGCCTCCCAACTAGCTAGGATTACAGGTGCACGCCACCGTGCCCAGCTAATTTTTTGTATCCTCATTTTTCCTCAAGAGGGGCATGGCTATAATTCATCTATTGAATAAGCAAACACAGGATTAATTACTTTTTTTTTTTTGCCAGAAATATGCCCCTACTGGTCATATAGTCCATCTGTGACCAGTCTAAGGAACATTAATCAGATAAAAGAAAAAATTCATAGGTAACTCAAATGAAGCATATCTTCTCAAAAGCAAAGCCATTTGTGTAATCAAGTACCCAGAACGTGGCTAAATGTAGCAGAAAATCACTAACTGCGTTCATACTCGGTGGTCATTCCAGCAGAAAAGTTTTCTTAAAAAAATCAAGAGGCATATACAATTAGTAGGTGTATACTATGTCACCTGCAATAACTGCGGCATAAAAAGGATTTATTTTAGGTAAACGTGTGATTCAGTAAACAACTTATGGTAATATTGGCTCAAAGAAGACAGAGAATTAAATATAAGACCAAGGTCAGTGTTGATGTTCACTCCTCTCTTCTAAAAGTTTACCTTCATGAGGTTAGTTACCTTCATAATGTTGGTCATCATAACCAGTGCACGAAGTGAACAGTGAGGGGTGAGTCATTTCCAAATTGCCTAAAACGTGCTTTATTAAAACAAATAGAATTTATCTTTCCGGCAATGCAATTTTGTGGCAATTTTTCATCATTCTTTCCCAGGAAAAAAAATTAAAGCCTAATATTGCATTGAAATGCACACATATCTTAGTAAATTTAGTACTATCATCCTAATTAGACAGATAAGCATACATATGATGACAAAAATCAGTAACTTCTTTCAACATGCGCTATAATTTCTGAAATCAAAACATTTCCAATTGAAGATGAGAAAGGTCACATTAAGCAAGAACTAAAGAATTTAATATGACAACAAAATATATTTTTCTTATGTAAGGTTGAAATACAAGCAGAAAATTTCAGTAGCATAAAAGGTTAAATAGATTCATTTTTATATTTTACCTTAAGTTCTGGGATACACGTGCTGAACGTGCAGGTTTGTTACATGGGTATACACCTGCCATGGTGGTTTGCTGTACCTATCAACCTGTCATGTAGGTTTTAAGCCCTGCATGCATTAGGTATTTGTTCTAATGCTCTCCTCCTCTTTTGCCTCACCCCCTGGCAGGCCCCAGTGGTGTTCCCCTCCCTGTGTCTGTGTTGTTCAACTCCTGCTTATGAGTGAGAACATGGGGTGTTTGGTTTTCTGTCCCTGTGTTAATTTTATGAGAATGATGGTTTCCAGCTTCATCCATGTCCCTGCAAAGGACATGAACTCATTCTTTTTTATGTCTGCATAGTATTCCATGGTGTATATGTGCCACATTTTCTTTATCCAGTCTATCATCGATGGGCATTTGGGTTGCTTCCAAGTCTTTGCTATTGTAATTAATGCTGCAATAAACATACGTGTGCATGTGTCTTTATAGTAGAATGATTTATAATCCTTTGGGTATATATTCAGTAACGGGATTGCTGGGTCAAATGGTATTTCTGGTTCTAGATCCTTCAGGAATCACCAGACTATCTTCCACAACGGTTGAACTAATTTATACTCCCACCAACAGTGTAAAAGTGTTCCTATTTCTCCACATCCTCTCCAGCATCTGTTGTTTCCTGACTTTTTAATGATCACCATTCTAACTGGTGTGAGATGGTTAAATAGATTTTTAAAAAGTTTACACTCTTTACTCTGTTTATAGTTTGTTTTGCTGTGCAGAAGCTCTTTAATTATGTCCTACTTGTCAATTTTTGTTTTATTTACAATTGCTTTTGAGAACTGAGTCATAAATTATTTCTTAAGGCTGATGTCCTGACTGGTGTTTTTTAGGTTTTCTTCTAGGATTTTCATAGTTTGAGGTCTTACATTTACATTTTTCATTCATCTTGAGGTAAGTTTTGTATGTGGTGAGAGGTTGCGGTTATTCTTCTGCATATGGCTAGCCAGCTATTCCAACACCATTTATTGAATAGGGAGTACTTTCCTCACAGCTTATTTTTGCTGATTCTGTCAAAGATAAGATGGCTATAGGTGCACACCTTTATTACTGAGTTCTTTATTCTGTTCCATTGGTCTATGTGTCTGCTTTTGTACCAGTACCATGTGGTTTTGATTATTATCACCTCAGAGTATACTTTGAAGTTGGGTATTGTGATGCCTCCTCCAACTTTGCTCTTTTTGCTTAGGATTGTTTTGGCTATGTTGATTCTCCTTTGGTTCTATGTGAATTTTGAACTAGTTTTTTTTCTTCTAATTCTGTGAAGAATGAAATTGGTAGTTTGATAGGAATGGCACTGAATTTGTAGATTGCTTTGGGCAGTATGGCCATTTTAACAATATTGATTCTTCCAGTCCATGAGCATGGAATTTTTTTATTTGTTTGTGTCATCTGTATTTTCTTTCGACAGTGTTTTGTAGTTGTTCTTGCAGAAATCTTTCACTTCCTCGGTTAGATGTATTCCTAGGTATTTTATTTTTGTGTGTGTGGCAACTGTAAATGAGAACGTGTTCCTGATTTGGTTCTGGGCTTGAACGTTATTGGTGTATGGAAATGCTACTGATTTTCGTACAAAGATTTTGTATCTGAAACTTTACTGAAGTTGTTTATCAGGATCCAGGAGTCTTTCGGTGGAGTCTTTAGGGTTTTCTAGGTATATAATCATTAAGTCTGCAAAGAGAGATAATTTGACTTCTCCTTTCCTATTTGGGTGCCTTGAATTTCTTTATCTTGCCTGATTACTCTGGCAAAGACTTCCAGTACTATGTTGAATAAAAGTGGTTGAGAGTGGGCATCTTTGTCTTGCTGTAGATCTTAGGGAAATGCATTCAGCTTTTGCCTGTTTAGTATGATGTTGGCTCTGGGTTTGTCATAGATGGATCTTATTATTTTGATGTATGTTCCTTTGATGCCTAGTTTGTTGATGGTTTATTATGAAAGGATGTTGGATTTTATTAAGAGCCTTTTCTATGCCTATTGAGATGATCACGTGATTTTTGTTTTCAGTTCTGTTTATGTGACGAATTTACTGATTTGCATATGTTGAACCAATTTTGCATCCCAGGAGTGAAGCCTACTTGATCATGGTAAATTAACTTTCTGATGTGCTACTGGATTCAGTTTGCTAGGATTTTTACATCTATTTTCATCATAGATATTGGCCTGTGGTTTTCCTTTTTTGTTGTGTCCTGTGAGGTTTTTGTTTCAGGGTGAAGCTGGCTTGATAGAATGAGTTAGGGAGGAGTCCCTCCTCCTAGATTTTTTTGGAATAGTTTCAGTAGAATTAGTACCACCTGGTACTACCTAGAGGATCAAGGTATGTTTGAATTATGGTTTGAAATCATGTTTACTTAAGTGTCAAATTTACAAAAACAAAAAATCAGTTATGAGCCAGAAGTTGTACTGCTGAAGTTCTCTGGTGTGATCATTCTTACCCATGTCATATCCCCTTCCTTAAAGTTGAGGACGGATGTTAAAAGGTTCAACAAAGCTGAGCTGTACTCAGCTTTGGAGGTGAAGGTAAACTCCATGGCTAGATGAGCAGTTTTAGCACATAGCATCAGTTGATGTGGAGTCACTGTCATCATTTTTATAAAGATTCCGTCTTTTATAAATGGCTTCAATAACATTTTGCTTGTTTGCCAATTCACCTCCAGGTGGCAGTCTGGGGATGTTCTCATTGGCTAATGTGTACACCACATGGACTAAGTCAGGGACACCTTCCCCCTGCTTCTTTATGATTTCTTCTACTCTGCATTCCAGGTACTTGCCCAACTCTGCCTCCTTCTTCGCTGCTTCTGGTGATACTTTGGGTGCATTTGGAAACCAGAGAAAAAAATCACACACATGTTGTCTTGACTTCCCTTATGCAAACAGGTGTCGACTATTTCATTGTAAACTTTCTCAGGGTCATCAGTGACTTCAAGCCTGGATCTTACAAAATCACAGAGCTCTTCATTTCCCATAACATCCCAGATACTATCACATGCAAGGATAATGAAGTGATCATCTTCTTCAGATCTTTCAGTGTCATGGACTTCAGGCTCTGGTGAGACAAGCTGCCCAGTAGGACCTTTCCCATGGATACATTTGTAATCAAAATCCCCAAGGGCTTTGGATACAGCCAGAGAGGCTTTCACATGCTAAAGCATTACAGAGCCACCTGCATTCTGAATTCATTCTTTTTCTAGCGGATTTGCAATTTGTGAAGAAATGAACTTTCCTGTTCCTACAAAGTAAACGTCTAGAGTCTTCATAGTTAATGAAATAATTATGTTGGGGAGAAAGTAAGACGCTTACATCTGTTGACCCACTTCTATCTGCACCATGTTTCTTCTCTGACATAACTCTCGTGTTCATCAATCTCCAGGAAACCTGTTCTGATTCCATTCTTTACATTTTCCAAAGAAGGTGCTCCTGCAGACCCTGTAAATCCTGGTTATCGGCGATGTGATCTAACAAATGCTCACAGCAGTATTTGGCAACCTGAGAACCAGGATGCCCGTTATACACAGCAAAGAATGACCACCTTTCAAGTCCACTTGGCAAAGCAATCACAGCCGTATGTGCATCCTCCATTTCAATACGTCAACCTTGCATGCTGCGTAGCTCGTATCGCAACTAATTACCCCACCCCCAGGCATTATGCTCTTCCATCTTTGCTTGTCTAAAGATGGTCCCATTATGTCATAATCCTGTAGGTCTCTATTAAAAGTCAAAAATCATCAACAAAACCAAAACAAGTCAACAACCACAACAACAACAACAAAACAAGGCTGTGGAGAGAAGGCAATGCTTATACACTGTTGGTGGGAATGTAAATGGATTCAGCCACTGTGGAAAGCAAAGAAATTAAAGCTTTTAATGTCTCAAAGAATGTAAAACAGAACTACCGTTCGACCCAGAAATCCCACTACTGAGTATATATCCAAAGGAAAATAAATCGTTCTCCCAAAAAGACATATACTTTTATGTTCATAACAGTGCTGTTTACTATAGCACAGTAATTAACCTGGGTGCCCATCCGTGGTGGATTGGATAAAGAAAATGTGGTACATATGCATGTTGGACTACTAAACACCATACAAAAGAACAAAAGCATGTCCTTTGCAGCAATGTGGATGCAGCTGGAGGCCATTATCCCAAACAAATTAACACAGGAACAGAAAAACAAATACTGCATGTTCTCATTTATAAGTGGGAGCTAAACATTGAGAACTCATGAACATAAATATGGCAACAATAGACACTGGGGACTCACAGAATGCGGATGAAGGAAGGAAAGCAAGAGTTGCAAACCTAACTTTTGGGTACTACATTCTATATCTGGGGGACAGAGCATTTGCATCCCCAACCTTAGCATCGTGTGATATAACCATGTCACATACCTGTATATGTACCTCTATTGAATCTAAAATGAAAGTTGAAATTATTTTTAAAAACTTTATGCTAGTATAATTTTAAAGCATCCTACATATACTAGCTTTTGAACATATTATTACAGTACTCATATCATTTTATTGTAGAGATTAGGGAAGCTTTGTTTTCTGACCAGTATTAGAAAAGATTTGAGTAACAATTACCTGCAATCTTTAAGCAAACTTCTTTCACCTGGTATAATGTGTTCCTTAAGAAACTTAAGAATTTTTCAAAGACTTTTTGTTTCAAATATTGGTTATTATTTTAATACTAAATGTTATTTTAATATATTAAACATAAAAAGAATATAATTGTTTAAAAAATGCTCTCTCCAGAGCACTAGGAGATAAAATGATACATTTACTTATGTAACACTTTCTTAATATTCCTTTGCATTTTATTACTATCAGTGAGAGTTTTTGATATTGGACAAAGAAAGCTTAAGGGGTTAGAAAAGTTCTCTCAATATATATCTCTTGTTGGCCAATTCTGCTTCCAGCCTTTTAATGAGACTGTCCAGAATTATTCTCTTACCGAACATCTTTTCCTACTCTCAGACCTGCCATCGTTACATCTTCCACGAAGGTAAGAACATGGAAGACAGAAGCAGCCCAAGCATAAGTCTTTTATAGTTCCCAGGAGTAAGAGTGCCAGACATGTAGCAGGCAATTTGCCCAGTGGCTTCTCCATTTTTGACAATTTCTAAGCTCAGCTGTCAGTCAGTGTTAGCTTTGGCCTGCTGCCACCCTAGAAATTCTGCCTCATTCTGAGCTCTTGGTCACCTGGATTGCTAATTGTGCTTCCAGGGATTCTGAAGCTCCTCAACCTACACAGGTTGTCTTTTTTTAAAAAAAGATAACATGTATTTATAGAGTACAAACAAATTATACACACACACATATAATTAAGATATATATATAATTATAGCTATTTTGTATAGTATGTACAGTAGTACCCCTGTAACTAAACCCAAGTTTGGCTCCTCACTGCTTGAAAGGCCAAACTCAAGAGACAAGGGTTGGTGGGAGGAAAAGCACGTTTATTCAGAAAGCCAGCAAACCCAGATGATGGCACACTATCATGCTAAAGTACCATCTTAAGTCATTCCAAATTTTTGGCTCTTTTTATGTCAACGGCAGGAGGAAGATGGAGGGCTCAGGGCAAGAGGTAACTGATGACTGCAGATATCTGGGCACCAGTGAGGGTGTGAGGATGTTGGGAACTTCTTTTCCCTGGTCAGGTCACAGTATTTCCATAAATCTTTAACAAAACATAGTTACTTGTCCTTTAAACTCAGAGTTCTTTCTGAAAAACTACATGATTGCTGTTTTTGTGTATGATCTCACTGCTCTATAATTATCCTTGCCTATCTGTGGGAATAGGTAAAGGTCCCTTAAACAAAAATGAAGTTAGTTATGTTAGTTTTTTGCTGCTTTGGTGTTACACCTATTTGAGGTGGATACATTCCAAGACCCCCCCTGTAGATGCCTGAAACTGTAGATTGTATCTAGTCCTATATATGTTGTTTTTCCTATACATATATACTTAAAAGAAAGTCTAGTTTATCAATTAGGCACAGTAAGAGATCAGCAGCAACAATAATAAAACAGAATAATTATAACAATATGCTGTAATAAAAGTTTTATGAATGTAGTTTCTCTCTCTGTCTCAAAATATCTGATTGTACTGTATTCACCTATTTTCAGTGACCAAGGGTAACCAAAACTGTAGCAAGTGCAACCACGGATAAAAGAACGACTGTAATTATATTACTTAACAGTTCTCAACATTTGGCTTTCTTTACACTTGGCAATGCCAGACTTCTCCTTGCCTTAAGGAAAACATTCAGTCCTACATCCCTCCTATTTTTTAAAATCCTAATGCTTTTCAAACTCTAATATGCATACAAATTACCTGGAGAATGCACCTTGTTAAACCTCCTAGTTAAAATGCAAGTTCCAGTTAAATAGTTCTGAGACAGACAGAGATTCTGAATTTCTTACATGCTGTTGGATAATGTCTGTGCTGCTGGTTCAGGGATCACGCTTTTGGTAGCAAGCCGTAAACAATGGTTCTCATAGTGTGTCCTTGGACCAGCAGCAGAAGTATCACCTGCAGACTTGGGGGAAACGTAAATTCTCAGGTCCCACTCCAGAACAACTGAATCAGAAATTTGGGGGTGGGGCTCAGAAATCCATGATTTAATAGGTCGTTCAGGTGATTCTGCTGCCCTTTGTAGCTAAAGAACCCCTGGCTTAGAGTACTGCATGTTAAAATATTTCCTCCTTGCCAATTCACTATATATGAGATGTTGAATACTCTGGGGAAGAAAATCAAGGCCAGGAATGGTGGCGTATGTCTATAATCTCTGCACTTTGGGAAGCTAAGGTGGGAGGATCACTTGAGCCCAGGAGTTTGAGAGCAGCCTGGGCAACATAGGGAGATGTACTCTCTACAGATAATTAAAAACTTAGCTGGGTGTGGTGGCACACGCCTGTGGTCCCAGCTACTTGGGAGGCTGAGGTGGGAGGATCACTTGAGCCCAGGAGGTCAAGGCTGCAATGAGCCATGATGGCACTACTGCACTCTAGGCTGGGTAACAGAGCAAGATCCTATCTTGTGGCCAAGGAGGGGGGGCGGGAAAGAAAATCAAAATATTTTATCCCCAAATATATTTCTTTGACAAATTTTGAGACGGCTGCCACATGGCCAGCAGATTGAAGTCGCCCTGCAAAGTTGTCTTTTGTAGGGGAGATTTGCATCTGTAGAGAATCTCCGTTAAGGTCTTCCATTGTCCAAATACAGGAAAGAAGAGCTGAGAGTCTGACGTAAAGATCCGCAACATTTACCAGTATATACACCTACAGAGTCATCTTAGACAGGACCGCTGACACCAGGGAAGCAGGGCCCATCCAGGCAGATGCTGGGTGAGTAAGGAGACATGATCGTGTGGAGCTTATAGACATTCTCCTTAGATTACTTCCAGTTTCTGAGTTAAATAAGAAGCAAGCTCATCAGCAGAGAGTGAGGAAAGGAAAGAAAAGGGGGAAGCGTATGAGAAAATCATTTAGGAGACAAGGAGTGTGAACATGCTTGGGAAATGTCGCGTGGTTGTCTTGTAGCATTGAAGGACCCATTCTTGGTGTTAATTCTATTGATTAGGGTAAGCAAATGAAGCTAACAAGCAGCTCCCAAATCTCAGAGACATAACAAAGTGAAGGCTTTTGTTTTCCTCTCTGTTGTCACATTCCAAAGAGGTTTAGGGGTAGCAGTCGCTCTTCACATCGTCAATTGTCCACATCAAGTGTCTATAACTACATCCCCTCCACACCCTACTCCTAACCTCGAAGTCCACCAAAATTCCTTCACGATCATAAGAGAAAGACCCAGACAGTTTCACAGATGTTTAGGGGTCAAGCCCGGGGGTAGTTGCCACCTTTTCTGCCGACATTTCACTGACCAGAAATCAGTCCCAGGGCTTCAGCCAGCTGTCAAGGAGACTGGGAAAAGTAGTCAAGCTGTATTTGCAGAGAGCTGGATCCAACCAGAACTGGGGGTTTGCAGAACAGGCACAAAGAAGCAAGTGAAAGGCAAAGAATTAGTGAATGTGAGCGAACAGGTGAATATCAAAATTGACCTATGAATTCAATTTGGAAAAGGCAAATGAGGAGAGGGGTGAAGGAAGTGAATAGGTGGCAGGATAAATTGACTTTTTAAATTTTAAAGCTTATAGTGCTTTGATAATATAGTAAAGGTTAAAAGAACCATCTGGGGCTTAATTACATTTTTAAGTTTCCTTGAGGGCTGTCACATTTGTCTGAGTAGCAAAAGCCTGTATAAAATAGCCGAGCCAGTTCTCCAGGCACTGATTCTTGCAAGATTAAAAATAGAAAAGAAAAAAAAACAGTAATAAGTATTTGAAGAACGGAGGATTTTATGTTCTCTTTGATGACGATCAATTAAAATATTTTGCCCATGGTTTGTCATTGAATTAATCTGCATTCCTTTTATTCTCCAAAGAAATAGGACACACGATGCAAGACTACTTTTATTGGTTTTCTTGTCAAGGTTTTTGGGACATCCAACTTAGATGAGACGTTTTAATTGTATTGTCAGCAGGCATTAAAGTGCATCTTAAGTTGAAATGTATTTGCTGCCTTGACTATAAATCCTATAAACAAATAAGTACTCAATGTAAAAATATCTGTTTCTACAGCTAGAGGATTGTAGACTGAAAGGTTCAAAAGAATCACAAACAGAAAACATTTAGAAAGTGTTAGAGAAGGTAACATTCAGGAGGTTGTCTGTGTACGTTCTAACTATTTCTATGGGAGTCAAAATATGAAAGTGCACATATTGATAAAACTACCAGGACCATAATTTTGAGAAAATGGTTTTGATTTCAATATATCTATTTTCCTGTGAAGGAAATAGTCTCAGACATAGCAATAGGTAGATATACACTTGTTACTGCTGTAAAAATATGGCCGTGGTTGCAACCAATTAGGTCACAGGTTTCATCTACCTTAATTAATTTCTCACTGAGCAAATACATATACTCCTGGCCGTCTGAACTCAACGGCTGCCACTTGTCCCAAAAAAGGCAGCTTACTGGGGATGGAGGACAGTGGGTGTCTGGAAAACTCCCTATAGTGGAAAATGAACAGAAACCTATTGCTAATAGTACATGAGTGTAGATCTTTTCAACATGATATGCCTTATTCCATTGATTCCAATAGCTCACGGAATGTAACATATACCATGATTTTATATCATATGAAGAAAGAAAAAAATGGGCTGGGTGTGTTGGTTCACGCCTGTAATCCCAGCACTTTGGGAGGCCAAGGAGGGCAGATCACAAGGTCAAGAGTTCAAGACCAGCCTGGCCAATATGGCGAAACCCCATCTCTACTAAAAATATAAAAATTAGCTGGGCGTGGTGGCATGTGACTGTAGTCCCAGCTACTCAGGAGGCTGAGGCACAAGAATCGCTTGAACCTGGGAAGCAGAGGATGCAGTGAGCTGAGATCGCGCCACTGCACTGCGGCCTGGACAACAGAGTAAGACCACGTCTCAAAAAAAGACAAAAAAAATAAGAAAGGAAAAAATGCTGCCATTGATCCAGGACACAATGCTTTTGTATCATTGGGGATTTACATTTTATATTTGCTGGAGAATTTCACTTAGATGTAGACACTGTGTAATCAGCCAAGTAAAATGCAGTGTGGAACTAGACTGATTAAAATGTTTCTGAAAGTTCTTCCAATTGGAAGTCTGACTCCCCTGAAATAACTTTCAACTCAAGGCAGCTGAGTCCTCTGTACCATTAAGAGTATTGGTGATGTAGCATTTCTGAAACAAACAAACAAACAAAAAAAAAAACAGGCACACCTGTCTCTGCCATCTCTGGGGTTTTCTTCTAAGCTTGTAATACCATCCTGTAAGTTCTGATACTGGTTCTTTCCTGAGCTTACTAGAAAGTACGAGGTAATCATAACCACCTTACAACTTGATGACAGCAATGGGAAGATACTGTAAATTTTAAGGCACATTTTATTCTAGAATAAAAATGATAAGAAATGTTAAGAATGTATATGATTCTAAGAAATGTGTCATTTTTATATATTAATCTATAAAATATAATGTGGGGAAATGTAATCATTTTAACTCAACAAGTTTGCATTGAGCTCCTTCTGTCTTTACACTCTTGGGATGGATCAAGATAGCTTATTAACCCTCATGTGAAAGAGGTTTTTTTTTTAGCCATTCAGTGTCATTCTTCAATCATTCAGTCTTAGTGCTAACCATCGAAGTATTACGTTGAGGCAGTGGGATGAAGTGGTGAAGATCACAGTCTTCACAGCCAGTCTGCTTGAGTCTAACATCTAGCTCCACCGTTACTAAGTTTGCGACATTGAGCAAGTCACTTAACCTCTGTGTGTCTGTTTCTTCAAAATGATAGCATCTACCTCACTGGGTAATTGTGAGGACTAAACAAGCTAATAGCCATTAAATACTTAGAACACTGCCTGGATGTAGAGTACTTCTGTATTATTTATCTGTATCTTGGAAACTTCATTTAAATAATTTACACATTGTTGTGACATAGTCTCACATAGCATCAGCAGGTTTCTCTTACCAGAATGAAGAGATTAAGAACTCAATTTAATGTTTGACTTACCTGTAGTTATATTCAGTCTTTCTGTGATTGAGTGTATGTGTGTGTGTGTGGTCTTCCTACTAAGTTCCATGATAAAACAGTAACAATATCTTTTTTCTAGAAGGAGGAAGACATAAGCGCACCAAAATAAATTTATATTTTTGCATTACCTGACTTCTTGCAGGAAAAAAATCATATTTGAATATGAGTCACTAATAGAGAAGTGAAGGAGATGCAGTTTTCAATCTACTAAGATGTAAACATAGATGCCTGATTTTAAGCTACTCCAACGCAATGCGTTGCCAATATGTATACATTTGATTCAACAATTAGTACATTTTCTAGGAATTTTGTGCTACTGCACTTTAGGTGATTGAATTTGCTTAAGTTCACAAATGTCTCTTTGCTCAGGAGTTGAATGAAAAATATATATTTATGTTCACACACAAATACCCGCATAATATTAGTCTTTTATATTTGTTTCTATTATCTAAAGAGTTGCCTTACCCAGAGTTTTTCTTTTGCGCAAATGAAAAACTTCAGCTGACCTGTGGACTTAGAGATTTACCAATATTAAATATTTTTGAAGTGTGGAATCTTGTGAAATAACCTACTGCACAAAAATATTCATGAATATCTTGCCATAGGCTGAAAACCAGGTGATCCAGGATTCAAGTATATAAATGTTGATTGCCTACTGTATACTTCATAGTAAAGTTCCTTGCATGCTAAATGTTGCTGAGTACGGGAGAAATATAAAACATGTTGGCTACAACAAATTGTTTGTTGTTTAGTTGATAGGAAAATACAACATGAAACAAGATACACACAGACACAAATTAAATGTTTTTAAAGGATATAAGTAACGAGATATAAGTAATGAGACAATGTAGTATATAAGTAATGAGATATAAGTAATGAGACAATGTAGTGTAATAAAATGTATTAATTGAATAATAAACTGCTAGTAAATACTTGTACATAAAAATGTTAGAAGGCAAGTGACTGCAAGACTTCAAGGAAGGTATTGCACGAGGTGGATATGAAAGATAGATAGACTATTAATAGAGAGATCGAAGGGAATTCTAATGGGAAGAGCAGGAACAAATCTATAGACATAATCATGGAAGGTTCTTGGGGGGCAGGATAGGGAAAGATAGTAGGAAATCAGCATCCTGAGTCAGCTGGAGTCCCTGGGGAATATAATAAGTGATATTTAGTCTTAAAAATTGAGTCAGATTTTACAGACTCTTAAGAAGTAGATGTGCTTTCATTGAATACAGGAGACTATTAGGAGTTATTAAAACTTCTCCAGTGGGCCAGGAATAGGATAAAGCTCAAGCCAAAACAATATGTAGGAGAAATTCATGCAGAGAAAGGAGAGACAGAGGAAGAGTAATTAGACCTGGAAACAGAAGCATCTGTCAGCGATCTCTGCAGCGCAATCTTTACCTATTCCCAGGGCAAACGTTAGACAGAGCTCTGACTTTCTAATGTTCAGCAATTCCCATCTCTTATGGCATTCTGTCTCTTCTTTTCTTGTCCTTTGAACAATGAGTTCAAATCTCTTGATTCAGATAAATTACATTTTAGTCCCTTATTAGAGAACTTGCAGACAGTATCACTAAATGTTTTCTAAAGGTGAGAGCTACAAACTACAGAATTGCAAAGTTGGCATTGTTTCCAGGGAAAATTCCAGAATAAATTATCATACAGAACAATTAATACAGTAGAAGTTCTCTGTAAGTGCCAACGAGGGCCCATAAGTAGCAATTAATGGGACAAACCTAATTGCTTTTTCTGGCAGGGTTGTCAGAAGAAGGAGGAAGAGGTACTAGATATATTAAATCCAAATTTCAGTGAGGCAGTTTACCCAGTGTATTGTGTGAGCATTCAACATGAATGGCAGTTAAGATGGATGACCCTCTTTCCCCAGTTAGCAACTGTCTTTGGACAAATGTAACCTGGAGGGAGGTTTAGGAGCTTCTATAAGGCTCTGTCTTTGGCTGTCTTTATTAATGAGTCAGATTCCTAAATTATCTCAAGAGATTTAGATAATGAAGAGAACTGGAGATGGGTTTGCAGAGGGGATAGTGGAAAGGCTCATTCTTTGAGTTGGGCCATCCATTGCATGAGTATAATCTGTGAGTATTAAAATACTGAGGAAATAATGGAAGGGGTGGCAATGTAGGCATTTTCACTATTCTCCTGAGAACAAATTCCCAATTTAGGCCATTTATTAATAATTCTGATAGTAAAACTCTTGACAATACATTAAGAAAAAAGATATTATGGGACAAGAAAGATATTTGAAGCATCCTGGCATAGGTGACTGCCAGCAATGAGTAGTGGAAAGGGTGACTCTTCTATCCCTGGGAATTTCTGGACTTTATTGGGTCAACCTATTCGAAGACTTAATTCGTAAGACGATGTTGCCCAAACTACCAGTTCATTCATTACAAGCTTTTAGGGCAAGGTTTTTAACTACGTTTTTGTTTTTAGTACCTAGAACAAAAGACATTCACATGCTCTCAAATTACACCTTTTCCAATAACCAAACAGCCCTCACAGAGAAACGGCATGTTTTTACACCTAGCACATAATTCAACGTCATACAAATGATACAATGTAAGTAACTTCCAATAACAGTTTAAACCAAGTATGTGCTGATAGCAGCATTGGAGTTCATAGCGCCTAGCAGAACCAGCTCCCCAATGTTTCTCATGAAAGAGAAAAAGTAAATTCATTATTTCTATTTTTGCCACTCCAAAATGTCCTTCCTTTATTTTGTTGCAGGATAAAATATAAGATGTGAAGGCCAGAAACTGAAGTTACTGATTAGTAATTTGGAACTTGCTTTTTAAAAAAAAATCATGTTAACTCCAGCAGTAATTTCCGTACAGTCTGGTCGTTATCTAAAAGGGACCATCAGTCACTGCAGACTACTCCTATTAATGAAGGCACCAATGATGTTTCTCTTTTTTAAAAACTCAGGTAGGTTTTTCTCTGTTATTTGAAAGCACAACGTAGTGAAATAAATAAGCACAGCTGTGAAACTATCAATCCATATTTAGGTTCTTCATGGTATGTGGTGGCTGTCCCACTTACTCTCTCCACCACCTTAGAACTTTGATTTCTGAACAACCAGAGAAGAAAGAAATTAAGACTTGAAAAAAAAAAGAAGGCTTGAAATGCACATGCTCAAAGGGTAACTATGTGGTACACTTAAGCAAACATATAAAACAAATGTGGTTTGGCTTGGTCTCCACCTAAATCTCATCCTGAATTGTAGTTCCTGTAATCCCCATGTGTTGTGGAGGGACCTCGTGGGAGGTAATTGAATCATGGGGGTGGTTACCTCCATGCTGTTCCCGTGACAGTGAGTTCTCATGAGATCTGATGGTTTTATAAGGTGGTTTCCCCTCCACCTCTGCTCTGCACTTCTTGCTGCCATCATGTGAAGAAGGACATGTTTGCTTCCCCTTCCACCATGATTATAAGTTGCCCAAGGCCTCCCAAGCCCTGTAGAACTGTGAGTCAATTAAACCCCTTTCCTTTATAAATTACCCAGTCTTGGGTATGTCTTTATTAGCAGTGTGACAGCAGACTAATACACAAGTGTTGGTCCTAGTAAAGATCTTGTCCCCAAACTATGTGTCACGATATGCTTCTAAGGAACTCCACCTTTGAGTGCTAAAGTGAATTGGGGCAAGATAAGAGGAAGAGAAATCCCACAGACTTCAATGATCCCAGAGTCAGGTCAAAAGCCCCTGACTTATACCGGTGACTCTAGGAATGGAAAAAAGGAGGAAGCTGGAGAGACTGTGATGAAGGAGAGAAAGGAAGAACAAGTAGCAGTCAAGATGAAAATAAAATTTCAGGTTTAAATTCTAGGACCTTGGAGAAGAGCAGAGATAAGATTAGACAAGTTGAATCTGAAGTGGAAATACTGAGATTATTAGGATATTCTGTCAGGGGATGATGTCAAGACAAACTTTTTAAAAGTTTTCCATTCTCAGTCGTTACATTAAGAAAAAATTGACACATGATAGTCATCATTCTTTTTTTAGTGATGGAGAGAGCGTGTATTCAGAAGCAAATACCATGTAAAGATTTCACATAACATTGTGGGACTTCAATAGAAATCCTTTTCAAACAGCTTTTCAGCTTTTTCCTTAGAGCTGACTTTTCTGTATAAATTATTATTGTACTTTCATTTGCCTCTTTTAAGACGCCTTCAAATGTACTCTATTTTTAATTTTCACAGAATGGGCAAAATTGAGTGTTCTTAGATCTGTTGATTGTACAGCTTGAATTTTGTCATTTCACTCATTCTTTCCACTCAGCCACTGCATTAGACAGGTGATTAAAAATGCACTTCTAAAGAGTAGAGAAATCTTTTATTT
This sequence comes from Homo sapiens, assembly GCF_000001405.40. Lineage (NCBI taxonomy): Eukaryota > Metazoa > Chordata > Mammalia > Primates > Hominidae > Homo > Homo sapiens. The sequence continues at coordinate 15,818,585 of NC_000008.11, forward strand.
CTCAAATCCTCTGTGACTGACACGGAGGATCAGAACAGGGTTTTTAAGCATAATGGTATAAATGACACTATTTCACTTTTTAAATTTTTACAAATGAAGGACAATCATAATTATGTCCTATGACTGGGAGGTATGCTTCAAATGACTTATTCTTTTAAGAACTAAATACTCATGTACTTGCTTCTGTTACAAATATGAACTAGATTGCTGCTGCCCCTACTCAGGAAAATCATACATTAGTCATTCTGGTTTTTGTTTCGTTGCTAATTTAATGGTGAAGGCTGTATTGAAATATTTGCAATGTTCACCTTGTCCTTGTAATAAGACAAGTCAATATTGACAAATTCATTCCTTGTGGGTCTCGTGCAGTGGTTCACACCTATACTCCTGGTGCCTTGGGAGGCTGAGGCAGGAGGATCACTTGAGGCCAGGAGTTTGAGACCAGCCTGGGCAACAGAGTGAGACCCCTGTCTCTACAAGAAAAAAAAAATTATTTTATCTGGAGAAAATTCACAGCATTCTTGATTCTAGTGCTTATTTTTTCATTCTCCATCACCACGAGTCATAGATGGTTTTCTGGATGTTTACGTTTGCATGTGATTTAGCATTTTTCTAGATGTAATGGTAGTAGACTGCACATCAACTATCACCTTTAATTAATCTCAAACCCTGTCTCCATTGTGCACCATTTAACATATTTGTTACTTCTTGTTCTTATACTTTAATTTTACAGAATTAAAATACTAATGAAATATTTCACTCTTCCAACTCTGCCTACTCTTCCAATCATCTTGGTTTTATTGAATTTTCTATACTACTTTCTCTCCATCACCTCATCCTTCTCCACCATTACCTCTATGCAGATCATTCCTAATTTATATTTACATCTGAAAATTTCCTGAGTTTCAGACCTCATTTTTAACTGTCACAGTCATGTCTACTAGACTGTCCCCCTGACTTCTCACAATCTGGTGACTCCATCAACTCCTTTGTTTTCATACTAGCAAATAATCTCTTGTAATATGGTGGTGAAGTTTCTTATACTTGTAAGTCTTTTGATGCCTTGCAAAGTATATAGAATTAAAAGTTAATGAAACTTTCATTCACTGAGTGCGACTTGACTTAGTAATGTTACAATATCTCTTGTAGAAAGATGATGCAAAATGGTTACAGAAGCTACTGTGATGCTCTTCAAATTCAGAACTCACAATGTGGGCATTCTAGAAAGGCTGAAATTTTCTAGAACTTGGGCGTATTTATGATAAAAGACAGAAGTGGGATCTTCCCTTCTTGTCCTATTGTTTTTTCATTTATTATATGTTTTTCAAACATTCTTGTTAGTCATATGGTCTAATCTCAGGCATATCCCCAGATTAAAGGCAGTTATTATGTTGTCAATTATTATGCTGACTACATGTTTTTCTTATACGTACTTTATCAATTTGAACTGTTCCTAGTTTGCTGAGATTTTTGTTATGAATTGCTGTTCAATATTATCAAATGCTTTTTCTGCATCTACTGAAATGATCATATCCCACTTCTTTATTCTGTTAATATGTTAAAGTACCTTCATAAATTCTGATTGACTGATAAATGAACCTTGCATTCTTTAAACACTACTTATTCATAATGTATTATGCTTCTTATATATTGTTGGATTCAACTTGGTAATATTTTGTTAAGAATTTCTGCCTGTATATTCATGAAAGATATTGATCTGTAATTCTTTTTTTTTTTTTTTTTTTTGAGACAGATTCTTGCTCTGTCGCCAAGCTGGAGTGCAGTGGCGCGATCTTGGCTCACTGCAACCTCCACTTACCAGGTTCAAGCGATCAAGCGATTCTCCTGCCTCAGCCTCCTGATAAGCTGGAACTACAGGTGCACACCACCACGCCCAGCTAATTTTTGTATTTTTAGTAGAGATGGGGTTTCACCATCTTGGCCAGGATGGTCTCGATCTCTTGACCTCATGATCGGCCCACCTCAGCCTCCCAACGTGCTGGGATTACAGGCGTGAGCCACGGCAGCCAGCCTCTGTAATTATTTTACCATGACATCACTTTCTGATTTCGGTATTGGCATTATGCTGGCCTTTCAAAAGGAGTTAAGTAGTAATTGCACTCTTCCTATTTTCTGAAAAATTTTCTGTGAGATTAGTGTTATTTCTTCTTTGATTATTGAAACTAGCTACCTTGGAATTTTATTTTGGAAAGGCTTTAGATAACAAATTCAACTTTTCCCTCTTATGTTTTTTAAAATATGTATGCCTCTTTAAAATCAAAATCATAACATTACCTTGTGAGGTTGCAATGTATGTAGATGTAATAGATAATGTAAGTATAATATAAAGAGGTAAAAATTGAGTTTTAGGTGTGCCCAGCTATTTGCCACTTTTGTTACTCTTAACAAAACATTTCTGTTTCCAGATTTCTCTCTGACATTATTTCTCTTCAACTTGAAAATTTTCTTTAGCATTTTTTGTAGAGTAAATCTGCTAGTGAAGAAGTCTCTTAGTTTTCCCTCATCTTAAAATAACTTTATTTTGCCTTCATATCTGAAAAATGTTTATGATGTATATATAATTCTGGGTTGACAGTTATTTTCTTACTGTAGTTTAAAGGTGTTCACTGTTTTCTGGCCTTCATGATTGCAGATGAGAAATTCTAGTCATTTAAATCATTGTTTCCCTGTTTGTAATATGTCTCTTTTTGCTAGTAGCATTTGAGATTATTTTATCTCTGGATTTTAGCAGATTGATTTTAATGTATCTAGGCATTTTTTTTTTTTTTTTGGATTGGGGAGTAGTCCTGTTTGTGGTTTGCTGATGTGTAAATTTATGTCTTTCCGATGATTTGGAAGTTTACTGCTATGATTTCTTCAAGATTTTTTTCTTTCCAATCTCAGCCTTATACTGATTCCTACACAGAATTAAGCTAGCCTTTCTTCTGCTTTTTTACCCCACTATAAGATTTCCCCCTTACTCTCCCAAAAAGATGAGGGTTTTTTTTTTTAGGAGTTTTATCTACCAATGCTGATGTTCTCCTCTGTGACTAAAACCTCTCATTGAGTCAAAAACCATAAAAGCAAACACCCTAAGCCAGGTTCCTTCTCTAAGTTTTGACTTTCCTTCACAATCTGCCCCCTTTTATTTGCCTTAGAGAGCCCACAGATATGGGTAATTTCCTTTTATATACTTGTTTGTTTGTGTTTTGTTCACAAATTTTTATTGTAATTAGCAAAAGGATTGGATTTTGTGGACTAACACCATCAAAGTGCAACTAAATTCCCAAATTCTGTTTTAAAACCACCATTCTAGTTGCTCTGTTGAAATTAGACTATAGACAGGTAAAGAGGGTGACCTCTTGGGATGCCGTTGCACATCTCCAGGTAAAAGATGATGATGATTTGATAAGGCTGGTAGCACTGCGAGTAATAAGATGTAGCCATTTTCTAGATGCCCTTAAAATCCAGCAGAAGTTTCTGGTGAATCAGATACTGAGTAGGAAAGAAAGTGAGATACCAATATAATGCTAAAATTTTGGCTTGAGCAATAGGAAGGAAGGTTTAGTCATTAACTGAAATTGAAAACGCTACAAATAGAAAAAAACGGGTGAACTGTCAAAACTTTAGCTTTGACATGTAATGGTTGAAATGCTTATTGACTATTCAAGTGGAGAGATCAAATTAGCAGAAGATATAAAAATGTAGACTTCATAAGGAAGAGACTAGGCTACATATTTTAAAAAAATAGAGTTTGCACTTTACAGATGGTATTATTAATAGTTTAGACTCCATAAGGTCCCCTAGGGAGATGGCTTTCAAACTTTAATATTCGAGAGAATTACCTGCAGTGTTTGTTAAAACTGATTGTTGAGCACTTATCCCAGAGTTTCTGATTAATTAGGTCTTTGGAGGGATGTGAAAATTTGTATTTCTTGCAAGTTTCCAGGTCTTGCTGATGCTGCTGGTCTGAGGACCACACTTTTAGAATTACTGCCCTAAGGTGTGAATGAAGATATAGAAGAGAAGGCTTCCAAGGATTGAGCTTTGGGGAATTCATGTTAAGATGGCCTAGAAAAGATAAGGAACCAGCAAAGGGGACAGAGAAGGAGCATCCTGTGAGGTATGAAAAGCAGGAAAATGGTGTCCTGGAAAAGACTTTCAAGGAGGAAGGATTATCAGCTCTCATCTGCTGCTGATAGGTCAAGTGATAAAATAAGAACTGAGAACTGAACATTGCATACACCAATAAGAAGATTCTTAGTGACCTTCGCAGTATCAGTTTTGTTGGAGATTTGGGGGCAAAAGCTTGTTTGCAGTGGATTGAAGTCATATCTGTATAACATAGTCAAGTTCACTGACAGGTTCATTGGCCCTCGTAACTCAATAATACCGACCACTAAAATCCTCTTAACAATACTGTCCCCATCAAAGATTTTTTTCTTTTCTAAAGGAAGAGGACAAGCAGATCAACCAGTGTGATTTTCCTGTTTGCCTTAAAGTTAAAAATACTTAATTCAAATGAACATATTGACTTTTTGCTTATGGTATCAGTCTTTTAAAAGTTAGTTTAACCTGTACCAGTTCCTCTGATCCTGTTTAATGCTAGCTCTGTCAACAGAATGAGTTTTCCGGAGCGCTACCCAAAAGCCTGAATAGTGGAGGCTCTATCATAGTCCTACTTTTCTGGTGAAGTCCAAATTTGTCGTTTTCATTATTTCTTTTTATTAAGCAGCCATAACCTCAGTTTTGTCTTATGTGAATTAAAGACTGTGGACTGCCTCATTTCAAAACTCACACTCATCTTTAAACTTCCATGATTCTATGACTTTACATTAAGATAAAAATGGTAAAGCCGTCAAGCAACATTTCTTTCTCTAAGTTTCCCTAAATTTCCTCCAAGATATTGAAGTCAGTATTTAGGAATGTCTTATTTATTCATTATTGTAGATTCTTCCAAATAAAAGATACCATAATGTATTTGAAGTATTTGATTTATAAAAATCTGAGTTTAAATAATTTTAAGAAAATATCTAGAGTATAAAATAAGTCTTTGACAAAGTTTCTCCATATAAAATGTTTGTACATAATTGCAAACTTGATATAAACACCCCTGTTATTTACAAAGGAGTTATCAATTGGAACTAAAATATCAGTGTTGAAATCATGTTCTTAATCCTGCAACTAAATCAAACAGAGACTGGCAAGTTCAGTGAGTTAACGATAACACCTGTCTTATTGGTATATGAGCAGTAAATAACAAGAATTTTTCTGCTACAAATCTCTTCCGTAAAGCATTATTTATTAGTGTAGTTTCCGCTAACGGATAGTATGATCTGAAATGGAATATGATGCCTTTCCTAAATTGAATAAAGCATTGAGAAAACATATGCAAGAAGCAGTGTCTTCTATCATTTAAAAAGGTTTTGGTTCTCAAAAAATTTTTTAAATTTTTAAGCAAGAAAATGTTTTAGCAATCAACTACAGCTAAGCTGCATTTTAGAAGGAGGAAGAAGATGAGGCCCAGTAAGTGCAGAGTGGCCCTTATTCACGGCAGAACTAAACTGAGAATCACTGCATTGTATCATAGAACTAACTAGTCACAGAAGTGGAAGATATCTTGTTATTGATTATTAATATCCGATTATTACCTGATGCATGAATCACTCCACAGTCTTCCCAGTAGGATACTTTCAATGTCTATTTATACATAGAATGCAAATAAACCAAACACTCAGGGATGTTTTCCTAAAACAGGCAACTCCATTGGCAAGGTATGAATATCAACTGATGGGCTTAATATATACAAACTTGGTGCTAGGACTCTTAAAAATCTATAAAGATGGTTTCCAGCTTCATCCATGTCCCCACAAAGGACATGAACTCATCATTTTTTATGGCTGCTCAGCAAACTATCGCAAGGACAAAAAACCAAACACTGCATGTTCTCACTCATAGGTGGGAACTGAACAATGAGAACACATGGACACAGGAAGGGGAACATCACACACTGGGGCCTGTTGTGGGGTGGGGGGAAGGGGGACGGATAGCATTAGGAGATATACCTAATGTTAAATGACGAGTTAATGGGTGCAGCACACCAACATGTACACATATGTAACTAACCTGCACGTTGTGCACATGTACCCTAAAACTTAAAGTGTAATAAAAAAAACCTATGAAGATGTTCACTGTCCTATGTCTTTTTTATATAACTATCACAGAATTCCCATCACAAATTTAAGCCAACCTGTCAGTTCTCCCAAGGTATAGCATTTCCTGCCTCTTTTTAATTGGACTGAAAAGTTTCAGTATCTGTTGGTGAAATTCAGTTACAGTGCTTTCCTCCCTTCATTGACCATAAGATTGACTCTCTATATAAACTAGACACTTGAGACAAAAGTCAACCTCTTTATTGTTGATTCATTTAAATTTTCAAAGGTTATATATATCAGAGTAGTAACTCAGCTTTGAACCATCTCCTATGACCATGCTATTATGTCCTTTCAGGTGCTCCTGATATTTACTGCCAGAAATTATGGTCAGTGCCAAGGGTGGGAAGTAATGGCCAATGACAATTTTATTCACCCATTCTGCATTTATTAAGTACCTACTATGTTTTAGGCTGTGTGTTAGTTCTCATGCTGCTGATAAAGACATACCTGAGGCTGGGTAATTTATAAAGAAAAAGAGGTTTACTGGACTTACAGTTCCACATGGCTGGGGAGACCTCACAATCATGGTGGAAGGCAAAGGAGGAGTAAGGCACGTCTTACATGGTGGCAGGCAAGAGGACGTGTGCAGGGGAACTCTCCTTTAGAAAACCATCATATTTTTGTGAGACTTATTCATTGTCACAAGAACAGCATTGTGGAAAGACCTGTCCCAATGATTCAATTACCTCCCACCAGGTCCCTCCCACAACATGAAGGAATTATGGGAGCTACAATTTGTGATGAGATTTGGGTGAGGAACAGCCAAACTATATCAGACTGGCAACAAGATGCTGAGATACTCAGGCTAAGACTCTATTAAAGACACTGCTCTTATTCTTAAGGAAATTAAGGTCCATTAGAGGAAAACAGAACATACATACAAATAAGTGCCTTGAAGTGTTACGTATAATGTGAAATATATGCACATTGAGATTACAAAGCAGAGATTACCTCCTATGCATTTTTTTGCCCAGGTATTTTGTTGTTAAGGCCTTGGCTATTTTACCTTAAGTTAATTCTCTTAACTGTATGGTAATTCTGGTGAAATAATTGATAGTGACCAATTACGGAATCAACAGTTGTTTCTTTTTTTTTTTTTTTTTTTTTAACTCTTCAAACAAGAAGCAATACACCTAAAGAAATTTGCCTAGGGAAATTCATGTACAGACTTGAACACATTAAAATAAAAATGTGCTGATGTGAGCCAGTTTTTAGCTGCTACTGAAGTGTTATCAGTATGTCATTTTCCATGTTACTTTGTATTTCTAGGGTGAGGTATGTTGTGTCTGAACTGAGCTCAGAGTTTCCAGTGCATAAATATGATGCATGATTCTGACTAGTTTAAATATAGAGTTCATGCATTCTTTCTAAAATTTTAGGGCTTACTTAAGAATGTAATTCTAGGAGATGGCATATTTGGCTGCAGTGGGAATTTTGAAATTTATGGTACTACTCTGGGTCATTTGGTTTATTTAAGTACGAATGGGATTTGGCCTGCCACACCTCAACTATAATCATCCTTCATCTTCCAGACAGCGAATAAATAACAAGTAAAGATTAATTAGCACCCTCTATGCTTTCAATAGCTTTAATTGCCTTTTCAGTATGTTCTTTGCGGAACACATAGAAAAATAAGATTCTTCTGGTTTAGTGATATCGCACATTATATTAATATATTGCAACTATTTAGAGAAAACACTACTCACCTATATAGGGGAGCTGTGTTTTGCTGCACTCAAGAGTAAATGGTTCCAGGCTTGGATTTTTATCTGAGCTATTTTCTCCTGCTTTTAAGGTAAAGTGCTGCTACCTTTTCTGGAAATAAATGAAGATAACCCAAATGAGAAGAAGCGAATGCTATTTATTTCAAGCATGCTGTCACATAGGAGTCAGCCACCATCACCTGCATAGAACAGAGATTCAAAGGCAGGAAGAGGAATGGGGAGGCTTTATGGTGAGGGAAAAAAAAGAGAACTCTTCAGATATCCTCTGACTGAAATTTGTTGATATGGAGAAGCCGGAGATGGCAACTAGGAGGGGGCATCTTATGTGTTTGTTGTGAGGAGTATATCCAGCCTTACCTGATTGGAGCTGGGTTGGGAACAGGGATAAAAATAGGGAAGCTCTCAATCCTTGATTAAATTCTGACTAAATTCTGACTGAATTTGATTGCTGCAGAGGTTGCAGGTCAGAGTTCTGTTATAATATATGGTCTGCTCATTGTCCAGCTGGATATTCAAACTCTCCCTTTGAATTCCCTTCCACATTTCTGACATTAGCATCCTATTTCTAGTCTCTTGACTCCGAAGCTTTTCTTACCGATATGGAGGCAATTTAGAGACTATAAGTACATCCCTCTCCATGATCCTACGTAACTGATGGGGTACGCTGGATTTCAGCATAAGCATTTGTAAAAAGGAGCATGTGATCTATTAGGGAGCACTAACATTATTTGATTCTAACTCATGTAAGACTGAAAACAAACCAGTTACGGAGCAGTAACGGCTGAAGACATTAAAAAATATTTCTCAAATTATGTTCTACTGAACACTAGTGTCATATATGATATTCATGAATATTCTTTTAAAAAGTGGAATGTTTTCTGTATAAGTAATCTGTAATGGGATTCAATGGGTAGTGTTCAGTTTACATTGGGTTTTGCTGTGTGATAGACAGATTGAAAATTTCTCATTATTATACAAATGAAACCTTATGGTTAGCTTAATGGAAGTAAAAATGGCTTCAGAAAACTCTAAGATGATAGGCTTTCACCTCTAGATTTTAGGCTTGAAATTGTTTCTAAGGACTCATGATTTTAAGAATAATTTTTACCCTCAGATTTTGCTAATGTGTACATTTGATCTTTGGACACAGATGTTTTATAAACCAGATTATCTTCATAAATTTTATTGGTAAACTGAACCATTTGCCCCAGAAAAAGCCATACCCTGAGTCTCACTGATAACTGATTTGGATAATTTAGATGAAGAGATTTAGAACTTCAAGTTGATGATATTTAGATGAGAGTTGATGCCGGAATGTTGAAGGCTGTTTGGGATGTTGGGATAGGGTGAATATATGCAGGACCCAAATTTTGCGGGGCCAGAGGTGAACTGTTATGGATTCAATTGTGTATATCTCAAAATATATACTGAAGTCCTAACACCCCAGAAAACTAATGCAGAATTTGGTATCTTTTTTTTTTTTTTTTTGACACGGAGTTTCACACTTGTTGCCCAGGCTGGAGTGCAGTGGCACGATCTTGGCTCACTGCAACCTCCACCTCCCGGGTTCAAGCAACTCTCCTGCCTCAGCCACTCAAATAGCTGGGATTACAGGCATGCACCACCACACCTGGCTAATTTTTGTATTTTTAGTAGATACTGGATTTCTCCATGTTGGTCAGGCTGGTCGCGAACTCCCCACCTCCTGTGATCCACCCGCCTTGGCCTCCCGAAGTGCTGGGATTATAGGCATGAGCCACCGCACCCAGCCAATATAATTTTTTTAATCTACAGTTTGTAGATTGGTTTTATAAACCTAGTTTTATATCAACATCTGTAGGTGACCATAAACTCTTAGACATTTTATCTACTGTCTTAGTTTCTGTTACCATTGAACAGAGCACTATTTGATTTAAGAGATGCCAGCTTGGTCTTTTTTATTTTCTACAAGCCACTCTTACAACTTCTCTAGTAGTTGAAGTGTGCTACCAACTGTTTATTTTAGAAAGTAGTAAACAAATGGGAATTTTGGTTTGTTCATATCTTTACCAGATCAACTGAATTACAAAGGCATGCATCTATTGCTTTTGGATCAAGAAAGAATAAGGTGTTAGCAAACAGGAAATGATATTTTCCTTACAAAAATACAGTAAAACACATTGTAAATAATATCTAATATTCGACTTCTCTGTGATACCACAGACAGCTGAAATAATCCTTTGCCACATATTTATATCTTGGTGGAATCCATGCTATAAGCTGGCTATCTAACAAACTCTCTAAGGCTGAAAACAGTCTGTTTTTCTTTCTTTGTGTGTCAAACCTTATTGTGCCATTTGTTTCGTCACTGGAGGAGGAAGGGAAGCCAAGCAAACAAATGTTGGAGTGAAAGAAAATACATGAATCCATTAAATATTTAAATGGCACTTTCCTCTGTTGACAAAAAACATGAATTGGAAAAAGTATCCAATTCTAGCAGAGTTCCTGCCAATCTCCCCACTCATGCTGTTTTATCTATTTTCTCCAAATTTTCACTTATGTTTTCTTCTCATACTTACCCACTTCTCTTTTTCTTTTTTCATATTTTATTATTCTATGTCGTTCTATGGTATGTGCACTACAATTGCATGGTGTATGTACTGCAACTTATTTAACCAGTTCCCCATTAAATTACATTTGTTTCTAATCATTTGCTATTAGAAAAAAATGTTGCAAAGAATCAACTTCACTCATGTCAATTTATCTTTTTGAGCATAAACGTTTGATAAAGTTTTTGAAGTGAAAGTGCCAGACTGCGATTATGTATACTTTTAGTTTTGAAACATACTGTCAAATTGCCTTGCAAAGTGGCTGAATGACAGGGGCCATTTTTTTTACCCTTCCTTACCTAAACATGTATTATCAAACTTTTCAATCTTTGCCAATCTGATAAGGGTTAATTTATCTCAGAGCAGTTTCGTTGCATTACTCTTATTAGGTACAGTTCAACATAAATGAGTCCTTTGTGATATAAGTTGCAAAGGTCTCTCTCAATTTTCCATTTACCCTGTTTTTGACTATAGTAGATTTTGCTATGCAAAATTTTAATTTTTTATTAGTTTATCAATCTTTTCTTTTATACTCCTGAGTTTTGTGTCATATTTAAAATATCTTTAATTCTGAGATTATGAAACATTTTCCAGTGAGTTTTTCTAATTTTCTCTAGTTCTGTTTTCTTAAAACTATTTAATATTTAATTAATTTAGAAGTTGTTTTAGATATAATTATTTCTTTTCCTTTGGGTAGATACCCAGTAGTGGGGAGGCTGGGTCTAATAGTTTTAATTTTAGTTCTTTGAGAAATCTCAATATTGTTTTGCAGACATTGTATTAATTTATATTCCCACCAGCAGTGTGTAAGTATTCCCTTTTCTCTGCACACTCAACCAATATCTATTTTTTTCTGGCTTTTTAATAATAGCCATTCTGGCTGGTGTGAGATGGTGTCTCACTGTGGTTTTAATTTGCATTTCTCTTATGATTAGTGATGTGGAGCATTTTTTAATGTTTGTTGGCTGCTCGTATGTCTTCTTTTGAGAAATGTCTGTTCATGTCCTCTGCCCACTTTGTAAAGAGGTTGTTAGGTTTTTTTTTTCCTGTTGTTAGAGTTCTTCGCAGATTCTGGATATTACTCCTTTGTTAAATGCATAGTTTGTAAATATTTTCCCCCATTCTGTAGGTTGTCTGCTTATTCTGTTGATCATTTCTTTGCTCCACATAATCTCTTTAAGTCTCATTTTTCTATGCTTGTTTTTGCTGCATTTACTTTTGAGGCCTTATTCATAAATCCTTTGCATCAGCCAATGTCCAGAAGAGGATTTCCTAGGTTTTCTTCTGGGAATTTTTATAGTTTCAGATCTTACATTTATGTCTTTAATCCAAAAAGACACCTGCACTTGTATATTTATTGCAGCACTATTCACAGTAGCAAGGTCATGTAATCAATCTAGGTGTTTATCGATGGATGACTGCATTAAAAAATGTGATGTGTATATACCATGGAATACTATGCAGCCATAGAAAAGAATGAAATTCTGTCTTATGTAGCAACACAGGTAGAGGTGGAGGCCCTTATCCTAAGTGAAATAACTTAAAAACAGAAAATTAAATACTGCATACTCTAACTTATAAATGAGAGCTCAATAATGGGTACACAAGACATACAGAGGGAAATAATACACAAGGGGGACTCCAAAGGGAGGAAGGTGGAAGGGGGATCAGGGTTGAAAAATTATTGAGTATGATATTTACTATTCAGGTGATGGGTACACTAGAAGCTTAAACCTCACCATTAGGCAATATAGCCATATAACAAACCTGTGCATGTACCACCTCAATTTATAAAAATTAAAACAATTAAAAATTAAAAAGGAAGCCAAGTGTGCACCTTGCCACGCTGTCACTGCCACCACTGCTGGCATGTGCAAGCAAGGATGGATTCCGCTGCTATCGTACTATGAAATGCTTTGCTGTCACCACCCATCAGTGTGGAAACCAGCAGTCCAGGATTACCTCAGCCCCAACCCAGCACATTGTATTCCTAACCTTGAGGAGCTAGAGAACAAAGATGGAGCGCAAAACAAGTCCCCCAGAATTAGGGCATGCAGCCCAGGAGTTGGGAGCTGAGCGTTGACCCCCTAAAATCTTCCAGAAGTGAAGCCAGTCAGCTAAACCCACCTTATACTACAATCAAACCCTGAAGGTCAACAAATAGGATAAAAGAAAAGAAAAAACATCCAAAGGTCATCAACTTCAAACAATGAAGAAACATAAGCCCACAAAGATGAGAAAGAACCACTGCAAGAACTCTGACAATTCCAAAAGCCAGAGTACCTTCTTTCCTCCAAACAACCATACTACATTTCCAAAAAGGTTCTGAACTCGGCTGAGATGGGTGAAATGACAGAAATAGCAACCAGAATATGGATAGAAAAAAAGATCGTTGAGATGCAGGAGTACATTGAAACTCAATCTAGAAAGCAAAGAATTACAACAAAATGATATGGGAACAGACAGACAAAATAGCCAGTATAGAAAAGAACCTGATAACAACCTGATAGAGCTGAAAAACACACTGCAAGAATTTCATAATATAATCACAAGTGTTAATATCAGAATAGACCAAGCTCAGGAAAGAATTTCAGGCTTTCTGAAATAAGACAGTCAGACAAGAGAATAGAGAAAAAAGAATGAAAAGGGACAAACAAAATCTACAAGAAATGTGGAATTATGTAAAGAGATCAAATATATGATTCATTGGTGTCTCTGAAAGAGATGGAGAGAGTGTGAGCAACTTGGAAAACATACTGCAGGATATTATCCATGAGAACGTCCCCAACCTAGCTAGACAGGCCAACATTCAAATTCAGGAAATGGAGAGAACTCCAGTAAGATACTTCAAAGAAGATTATGCCCAAGACACATAGTCATCAGATTCTCCAAGGTCAAAATGAAAAAACAGTATGTTGAAGGGAGCTAGAGAGAAAGGTCAAGTCACCTACAAACGGAAGCCCATCAGACTAACAGTGGATTGCTCAGCAGAAAACCCACAAGGCAGAAGAGATTGAGGGCCAGCACTGAACATTCTTAAATAAAAGAAATTCCAACCAAGAATTCACATCTGGCCAAATTAAGCTTCATAAGCAAAGGAGGAACAAGATCCTTTCTAGGCAAGCAAATACTGAGGGAATTCATTCCCACAAGACCCACCTTACCCACCTGAAGGAAACACTGAATATGGAAAGACTGTTACCAAAAACAACAAAAATACACTGAAGTACACAGACCTGTGACACTACACATCAGCCACACAAACAAGTCTGCATATAACCAGCTAACATCATGATGACAGGATCAAATCCACATATAACAATCCTAACCTTGAAGGTAAATGGGCTAAATGTCCCAATCAAAAGACACAGAGTGGCAAGCTGGATAAAGAACTATGACCCATTGGCATGCTGTCTTCAAGAGACCCATCTCACATGCAATGACACCAACAGGCTCAAAATAAAGATCTGGAGGAAAATCTACCAAGCAAATGGAGAACAGAAAAAAGCAAAGGTTGCAATCTTAATTTCAGACAAAACAGACTTTAAACCAACAAAGACCAAAGAAGGCAAAGAAGGGCCTTACATAAGGGTAAAGGGTTCAATTCAACAAGACCTAACTATACTAAATATATATATGCACCCAACACAGGAGCACCCACATTCCTAAAGCAAGTTCTTAGAGACCTTTAAAGAGACTTTTACTCCCACACAATAATAGTGAGAGACTTCAACACCCCAATGACAGTATTAGATAGATCATCAAACCAAAAATTAACAAAGATATCCCAGATTGGAACTCATCACTGGATTAAATGGATGTGATAGATATCTACAAACTCTCCATTCAAAAACAGCAGAATATACATTGTTCTCATCATGACATGGCACTTACTCTAAAATTGATCACATAATCGGAAGTAAAAAAACAGGGAATGGACATGAACAGACGCTTTTCAAAAGAAGATATACATGTGACCAACAAGCATATAAGTAAAAGCTCAACATCACTGATCATTAGAAAAATGCAAATCAAAACCACAATGAGATACTATCTCACACCAGTCAGAATGGCTCTTGCTAAAAAGTCAAAAAATAACAGGTGCTGGCAAGGTTGCGGAGAAAAAGGAACATTTATACGCTGTTGATGGGAGTGTAAATTAGTTCAACCATTGTGGAAAACAATGTGGCAATTCCTCAAAGACCTAAAGACAGAAATACCATTTGACCAGCAATCTCATTACTGGGTATATACCAAAAGGAATATAAATCATTTTAACATGAAGACACATACACACATACGTTTATTCCAGCACTATTCACATTAACAAAGACAAGGAATTAACCTAAATGCCCAGCAACGGTAGACTGGATGAAGAAAATGTGGTAGTCCACGGAATACTATGCAGCCATAAAAAATAATGCAGGAAGATGGACGGAGCTGGAGGCCATTATCCTTAGCCAATCAATGCAGGAACAGAAAACCAAATACCACACAGTCTCATTTGTAAGTGGAGCTAAATTATGAGAACACATGGACACAGAGAGGTAGAACAAGAGACACTAGGACCTAACAAAAGGTAGAGGGTGGGAGGAGAGAAATGACCACAGAAAATAACTAATGGGTACTAGGCTTAATACCCGGGTGACAAAACAATCTGTACAACAAACCCCGTTGTTACAAGTTTACCTATATAACAAACATGCACATGTACCCCTGAACTTAAAAGTTAAAAAAAAAAAAGGTGTTTTAAAGTGTGAGATATAAACTCAATTTTTTCCTAGATGACTACCATTAATATAGAGAACGTTTACTGATCAGTTCATTTTTTCCACTGTAGTCTGAAAATCATATTTATCAAAGTATATGTGCATTCAAATTTATTTCTACACATTCTTTTCAGTTCAATTTGTCTATCATACTATTTATGAGTATCACAATGAATTAGCTTTTATGGTTTTATATTTTTCTTATAGTACTCTTCCCGACTCTCCTCATTACTTTCTTTTTCACGTTGTCTAATTCCAGGTAAAAGTTGAAATCTTACCGATATTAAAACTTCTTGTCAGAGCACATTACATAAGTTTTCATTTTTTCAATTCTTCATTTTTATTTATTAATAAAATTACTTTCTTCATATTGACCTTGCACTTTCATACTAAATTTATTCCTAGGTTTTCCAAACAAAATTAATAATCAGTACACTCTTTCTTTTTAGTTACTGTGTCATCAATTTCTTTCTCTTGTCTCATTGTGTTGAATAGTTCTGCCAGAACAAATCTGTAGTGACCATAGCGGATACCTTTGTTCTCTTTCTGCCTCCGTGGGAAGGTGTCTTTCATTTCTCAGTTAAGAACAATACTGTTTTTTAGACTGAAACAGGTATGTTTCAACATTATCTATTGCAAGGTAAGTGCCTATTTATTCCTTTTTAACAAGTTTTCATTAAGAATAACAATACATTTTATTATATGCCTTTTTAGCAGCTGGGTAATCATTGAATTTTCTTTTTTCTATGGATATGGCATATTTCATATATTTCCTATCATTGAAACAACTTTTCATTCCTAGTCTTATTGAGTTAATTCATTCAGTATTCTGTTGGCCTGTTTTTCTGGTAATTTATTTATACAACCTACTTTAATGATTAAGGTCATTTCCTTTTCTTTGTATGCTACCATTTACATAGTACAGTTTACCCTTGAACAACAAGGGTTTTTACAGTAAGGTTTATTTATAAGCAGATTTTTATACAGTATTCATGAGATGTTAAACTTGCATATACAGAGAACTGACTTTTCATGTGCACAGGTTCCCCAGGACTGGTTGTGGGACTTAAGTATGCACAGGTTAGGACATGCAAGGGTCATGTAACCAATCCCCCAAGTATAGGGAAGCATGACTGTAAGCTGGACTTTATGTCTCATTTACAACATTGTTACTTTCCTTTCATAAACAATTTTTTGGGGGATAATTTTCATCTTTCATGCTACTCTTCAGTAACTTTTAATTTTTCTTTTATGGTAACTCATCTTTTTAGACTTATCCTTTTTGAAATCACTTTCATAAGTGATATTTTTAAAGAAAATCATCCTTTACATTCAGGTTTGTAAACTTATTTACGTAGAGTTGAAAAAGTCATTTTCTATGATTCTTAGAATATCTTCTATGTCTCTGTTA
This sequence comes from Homo sapiens, assembly GCF_000001405.40. Lineage (NCBI taxonomy): Eukaryota > Metazoa > Chordata > Mammalia > Primates > Hominidae > Homo > Homo sapiens. The sequence goes on from NC_000008.11 coordinate 15,835,292, forward strand.
TTTTTCCTGTAGCAATTACTATTTTAGAATTTATGCTTTTTCTCCTTTTATTAATTTATATGAGGATTCAACTGTTTTGCTGATTTTTTTAATGGAAGAATTGGAATATATCATTAGTTCACACTTTTTCTCTTTTCTATTTCATTGATTCCTGCCTTTATGTTTATTTGCTAGTTTGGTTTTTTAATCTTGTTACTAACTTCTTGAGTGGGTTTTCTAGTAATTTTAATTTCTTTGAAGATTATAACTTTTTCTGAGCATTGTTTTATACATTCCCCTCATATCTTGTTGATAAGTTCAAGTTTTATTTTATTGTAACCAGACAATGTTGTTTTAAATAATTATAATTTATGGAATTTTTTGTACCTAATATGGTAAAATATTTTTGGAATGCTCTGTGCAGCTAGGAGAGAAGATACAGTCTCTACTTTCAGTGTGTATGGGGGATGTATGTGTGCGTTGTGGGGTTTGGAGAAGAGTGTCAATGTGTTCCACTTTATTAATTATGTGTTTAGGTTTTATAAATCACTTATTTTTTATTTACTTCATCTATCATGGACTGAAAGAATTATAATTTTCTGATATTGATGTATTTTTGCATATTTCTTCTTCTTACATTCAAAGATTTTGCTTTTTGATAGTTTACAGTGTATTTATTTAGTGTATGTAAGTTCCAAACTGTTCTACAGTCATTGCAAATTCCACTCTTTAGCTATATAAAGTAACTTTATTTCAGTTTTTTTCTGACTTGAACTTAACTTGGTCTTATATTATGATCAAAAGCTTTGTTTTCTTTCTGTTTGCATTTGCTTCATTTATTCTCATACTATTGTTTAATTTCATTATAAAATTATTTTTTTTTGTTTTCAAAATGGTATAATCACAAAGTTTAAAAGTAACACAGCTGGGCATGGTAGTACATGCCTGTAATCCCAGCACTTTGGGAGGCTAAGGTGGGTGGAATGCTTGAGGTCAGGAGTTCAAGACAAGCCTGACCATTGTGGTGAAACTCTGCCTCTACTAAAAATACTTAAAAAAAAAAAAATTGCGCTGGCGGGTGCCTGTAATCCCAGCTACTCGGATGCTGAGGCAGCAGAATCCCTTGAATCTGGGAGGTGGAGGTTGCAGTGAGCTGGGATCACACCACCGCACTCCAGCCTGGGCAACAGAGTGAGACTCCATCTCAAAAAAAAAAAAAAAATTAATATAAGATTGGTACTAGACATATATAAAATACATGGTTCTCTGTCTTACCCTTTTCCACTCCCTGTAGTCTAAATACGTTCTTTAAAATTTTAAATACTTTTTTGGTTGACTTCTTAGGACTGTAAACCTTTACAATTCTTTTGCGTGACTTCCTATTATATATTAATCTATCTATCTTCCTTCCACTTACACCATTTAAATAATCAAATTTTAGTTCATTTATATTGCCAATTAAATACATGTTTATTGTCACATATACTTTCACCTCTGTCACTTAATTTCTAACTTTAAATGATATGCTTTTAATTTTAGCTGTTAAAAATGGATAAACTTGCAGTTTTATACTTCTACTTTTCCTCTCCCTTCCCTCCCTCACTTTTTTGGGCTATATCATTTCTTGATTGTAAAGGTTTATAAGATATGAACACTGTTATATAACTGCAATTCCCACATTTATTGAAATCTTCACACTGAATTTAATAATAACTAGTTTTTTTTCTATGTTAAATAAGGTAGGTCTGATTTTTCATTCTTTTATCACTGTTTGTCTGACTGTAAGATTCTTAAGTCACTGCTTATTTCCTTGAGAAATGTTTAAAAGCTATTGTTCTACTGTCTGCTGGCAGTGTATGCTGTAGTGGATAAATCTGAGGCTGAAGGTAATTATTTTAAATCAAACGATAATTTGATTTTTTTCTCACATTTGAAAAGGGATTATGTCTTTTTTTTTAAAAAATCACGTAACTTATTAAGATAACTGAAATCATTCAGTTTTTTCTTATGGCATATGTGCTTTTCCAAACTGTAAATTGAAGCATTTATTTATTTCTCAAGAGCTTTATTGTACTACACATTTAAATGTATTGGATTATGTATTAGTTTTTATTGTCATTGTTTCTTTTTGTCAGACTAATTATACGTACATTGGATCTCATCTGCCTTTCTTCTGTATCTATCATTTTCTTTTATTCTTTTAAATTCTTTATCAAATTCCATTTCACTTTCCTGATTTTCGTCTTTCCCCCATGTTCCTTACTGTTTAGCAATATTAATCATCATTTGTGTTGCTTCTAATTTGTCCCGAAGTTCTGTGATTTTTCCCCTTCCATTTTCTGAGATCTGCCAGCCGAACTCACATTTAATCTTTTTCTGTTGTCTTGTTATCACTCACCTGACTTTCTCTGTCTTTGTTTAGTGTTCTAGCTTCAGAGTCAAATTGACTAAATTTTTTTAATTCATGGAAGGCATTTTATAATAACTTTTGTCTGGCCTGTAACAACCATTTTCTGGTGAGTATTCTTTGTCTGCCATTTATTTTTGCTTTTTCAAACCCCATCTCTTCCTGTAGTATCTTGGTTTAGAAGTTATTTTGACTTCTTTTAAAATTATTTATCAGTTTTTAAAATCAGTTTTTCTTTAAACAAATCTTTACCAGGAGTTTGCATGAAAGAAGAGTCTAAGGTTGTATTCCAGACTGGCAGGAACTGCAATCATGACTTACTATTTATTCTCTTATGCTTTACTTCTTTGCTAGTGGATGGAGATAGCCAATTCTATAGTTGTTCATAATGTAAAGTCTCTCTCTCCCTCCAGTTGTATCAATAGACCACCTCCTGCGAATATCACTTGTCTAAAAGAGCCTTTGTCTGTGCCCTGAAAATATCTTCCTAGCCTGTGCACAGATTTTGTTATTGTAAGCAAGAAATTTTGGTTTAGCACCTCCGGATATATCATTTACCTTTGAGACTTATACTTTGCATTTATGGGGATATTCACCCAATGTGAACTTTCTTGGATTCATTTTGCACCCCATACCAGTGCTTGGAAACCATCCCAAATACTTTGTCATTCAGAGTTTTAGAAGGCTTCTATTTTAATAAAGTCATAACTATAATGCCAGGATAGCTCAGTTTCCAGATTCAACTATATATCATGACTGTGACCCACCTTCTACCATTACCCCTCTTTTCAGAGTTTTGAGTGATAAAGTCTCCACGTTCAAATCCAAATGTTGGCCCACTTTCAGCTCCAGGAAGTTGACCTTTCAATGGAAACCTTTACTTTAAAAAAACTCAGGAGCTAGCCAGTTTTCGCAGCACCATTTATTAAATAGGGAATCCTTTCCCCATTTCTTGTTTTTGTCAGGTTTGTCAAAGATCAGATGGTTGTAGATGTGTGGTATTATTTCTGAGGGCCCTGTTCTGTTCCATTGGTCTATATCTCTGTTTTGGTACCAGTACCATGCTGTTTTGTTTACTGTAGCCTTGTAGTATAGTTTGAAATCAGGTAGCGTGATGACTCCAGCTTTGTTCTTTTGGCTTAGGATTGTCTTGGCAATGCAGGCTCTTTTTTGGTTCCATATGAACTTTAAAGTAGTTTTTTTCCAATTCTGTGAGGAAAGTCATTGGTAGCTCAATGGGGATGGCATTGAATCTATAAATTACCTTGGGCAGTATGGCCATTTTCACGATATTGATTCTTCCTACCCATGAACATGGAATGTTCTTCCACTTGTTTGTATCCTCTTTTATTTCACTGAGCAGTGGTTTGTAGTTCTCCTTGAAGAGGTCCTTCACATCCCTTGTAAGTTGGATTCCTAGGTATTTTCTTCTCTTTGAAGCAATTGTGAATGGGAGTTCACTCATGATTTGGCTCTCTGTTTGTCTGTTATTGGTGTATAGGAATGCTTGTGATTTTTGCACATTGATTTTATATCCTGAGACTTTGGTGAAGTTCCTTATCAGCTTAAGGAGATTTTGGGCTGAGATGATGGGGTTTTCTAAATATACAATCATGTCATCTGCAAACAGGGACAATTTGACTTCCTCTTTTCCTAATGGAATACCCTTTATTTCTTTCTCCTGCCTGATTGCCCTGGCCAGAACTCCAACACTATGTTGGATAGAAGTGGTGAGTGAGGGCATCCCTGAGTGAACAGGCAACCCACAGAATGGGAGAAAATTTTTGCAATCTACTCATCTGACAAAGGGCTAATATCCAGAATCTACAAAGAACTCAAACAAATTTACAAGAAAAAAAACAAACGACCCCATCAACAAGTGGGTGAAGGATATGAACAGACATTTCTCAAAAAAAGACATTTATGCAGCCAACAGATACATGACAAAATGCTCATCATCACTGGCCATCAGAGAAATGCAAATCAAAACCACAATGAGATACCATCTCACACCAGTTAGAATGGTGATCATTAAAAAGTCAGGAAACAACAGGTGCTGGAGAGGATGTGGAGAAATAGGAACACTTTTACACTGTTGGTAGGAATGTAAACTAGTTCAACCATTGTGGAAGACAGTGTGGCGATTCCTCAGGGATCTAGAACTAGAAATACCATTTGACCCAGCCATCCCATTACTGGGTATATACCCAAAGGGTTATAAATCGTGCTGCTATAAAGGCACATGCACACATACGTTTACTGTGGCACTACTCACAATAGCAAAGACTTGGAACCAACCCAAATGTCCATCAATGATAGACTGGATTAAGAAAATGTGGCACATATACACCATGGAATACTATGCAGCCATAAAAAATGATGAGTTCATGTCCTTTGTAGGGACATGGATGAAGCTGGAAACCATCATTCTCAGCAAACTATCGCAAGACCAAAAAAACAAACACCGCATACTCTCACTCATAGGTGGGAACTGAACAATGAGAACACTTGGACACAGGAAGGGGAACATCACACACTGGGACTTGTTGTGGGGTGGGGGAAGGAGGGAGGGAAAGCATTAGGAGACATGCCTAATGTAAGTGATGAGTTAATGGGTGCAGCACACCAACATGGCACATGTATACATATGTAACAAACCTGCACGTTGTACACATGTACCCTAGAACTTAAAGTATAATTTAAAAAAATAAATCAATAAATAACCACACACACACACAAAAACTCAGGAGCAGAAGCAAAGAATGAAAAGTCTTTGAGATATGTAGCAAGAAACTAACTCCAAGTCTAGGAGTAAAGAGCCTAGAAAGTTCAAAGATGAAATTATTTTAAAATGTCAATTTAGTGAAAGAATAAGATGCTATTAGGGCATGGAAGAGAAAAAAGGATGGTAGGTTTCTAATTTCTGAAGTTTCTTAATTCCTAGTTAAAAATCAATAGTTTTATAATCTGGTATGAAAAAAATAGGTCCTGCTCAGAAAGTCTCAGAATAAATAGAAAAACACTTTTAGCCTGTTTTTCTAGAGAAAATTCCATTGTGCTTATAATTTTTATCCTTTGAAAGAAACAATAATGGCTGTCTCTAAATTTATCATCTATCCACTTGGATGCCAACGCCAAAGTGAGAAATAAAAATTTATGCAGTCCCTAAGCCTAAGTTAATGACATAAACAAGAAGTAAAGTCAGTAATTTAATGGCAAATGCAGTGCTCATATAGGAATTAAGGTTGAAGTAAAAAATTCTTTTTGGTCCACTGTTGTATTGAAAGTGGTTGCTAGAGGACATGTATTTTGTGTGTTTCAAAATCCGTTATTAATGGGACTAGGAGTCCCTTTAGTCCAATTAAAACCTGTGTTTATATTTTCCATTAGTGGAAGTTGTTCCCTAGTTTGGCATTAATTATCACAGCCACGTAGCCAGTATCCAAATTTATTGTTCATATGTTCTTTGGTTGCAAACAGCTATATGTTTTATATATATATATATACACACACACATATATACATCAATCTGCTTCAGTTTCTGTATGTCCAGATACATAGTTCTAACTCTATATTCTAAAGGTTGAGTAGACTAGGAATTGGATTATATATTTTAACACAATTCATTGTGGTAATTAATACATTTCATGGAAATATGAAGTAAATAAATTTACTAGCTAAGGTCAAGTCCTCCTTCCTTTCTATTTGTATGCAGATTTTATTCATGTACATTTTATTCTAATATAATCAGCCAAACTGAACTACATTTTATTACTTTCTTAGAAATCTGTTATACTAATTATAATGCAAAGAATTAATCTTTCCTCTGTTATGAGACAAAATTTTTTTTTTTTTAGATGGCATCTTGCTTTGTCTCCCAGGCTAGCGTGCAGTGGCAGGATCTCGGCTCACTGCAACCCCTGCCTCCCGGGTTCAAGCGATTCTCCTACCCCAGTGTCCTGAGTAGCTAGGATTACAGGCACATGCCCCCACACCCAGCTAATATTTGTATTTTTAGTAGAGACGGGGTTTTGCCATGTTGGCAAGGCTGGTCTTGAACTCCTGACCTCAGGCGATTTGACCGCCTTGGCCTCCCAAAGTGCTGCGATTACAGCTGTGAGCCACCACACCGGGCCTAAAAATGTTATTTGTTTAATGTGTAACTACAAATGTACTTCTTTCACTCCATTTAGAATGAATTCAGCTTAAATACAAGCCATATATACCAAATCTAAGTGCTATCTATGACTTATTTTAAGGTTCTAAGTATTTCCCTGATGTGTTCTTTAAAAATTTTAGAAGACTACATGGTTGAATTAAACATAACCTATATAATGGCAATTTTAGTGACTTGCTAACTGGAATTTAGTTCCCAAGAATGTTACCCACGTTTCTTATTCCTCAGAATAATAAAATAATCAGTCAACACATGTTTTTTGAGCACTTACTGAACACAAAACCTTCTTCTTGGCATTGGGGATACATCAATGAACAAAACAGATAGAATCACTCCTTGTAAGAAGCTACATCCTAAGAGAACGAGTATGAATCCTTCCGACTTGGGTTAGAAGTGCATCCCGACTGATTATGAGCAGTGTGAACCTGGGTTGACTGGTCACTTAGCAGTTCTGACCGCCAGCCTCATCATCTATAAATCAGTCTTAATACTTACCTCATATGCTCACACTGTGAAGATTAAACTTGATATTGTACACAAAGCTCTTAGCACAGTACCTGGAATGTAATAAAGCCTTGACATGTTTTTCATGTCTCTATTTATTTATTTTATCCTGACAGTTAACAAAGGTTTCTGGATCAGAAGCAGACTGATTACTTATTGCTGATCTTAGCATCAGTTTCCCATCCGCAGTCCTCCATGGAGCAAAATGATGAGGGCAGATATTTCCTGTGCATGCAAAGCAAGATTTGTACACAGGAGAGAAAGAAGGCTTGCAATTACGAACCTCAGAGCTTATGTAGGAGCTAAACAGCTACCGTTCCTGCTTCCTAAGAAAAACAGAAAAATTTTTGGTCTGTGATGTAAACAAGTCTTCTCTGAGACAAACGCGAGAAGGTCCTTTGGTATTGACAATTCTTTGAAACATGAACACGTGGCACCAAAATAGAGGAAACCTGTACATCTCCCCAGGATATTTCACTGTTTTAGCTTTCACGGTTTTTACCATTCACTTATCCTTTCAGCCATGTTGCCAATAATTTTTGCTCAGAAAGTCATGACCATGCAGAACCATAAAAGTGTTCACATTGTTTTTTGACAGTGCTCAATAACCATGAATGATTATTGTTGTTATAGTAATTTGTAGCAACCACAGCCTGAGAACATGAGTATATTTCATGCTCCAGTCTCCCAAGGAAAGGAAGAGGAGCGAGGGCTTTGAGGAAATAACACATTCACTGCAAAATAACAGAATTTACTCTTATGATCTCTTCCTTTTCTTTCCTTTTATTTTAAGTACCTTCTCAAGAGTTTCTCTATACAGTAAGGCTCCCTAAACTTTATTTATGGCAAACACACTACAATACATTAGTTAATTGTATTCATTGCTAATGGGTGATCTGTACAACAGTATTCAAAAAATATGTTTTCTGATAAAAGTTTTTGGGTCAGATACGTTTGGAAAAGCTGGTGGAATATATCTTCCCTCTTGGATATTGTGTCACAAGACACAATACCATGCTACATGTTTTAAGAAATTCTGCAGAATGTTATTTAACTCTTCGATTTTTAAAAACTCCAAGTACTAGAAGAAAAACTTAAAGAGATGAATTTATAGCAATGGGTGTCTCAGATTCTTAGGCAGTTGGATAGAAGAGATAAAGTTGATGGTAGAATTTTCTACCATCTCAAAAATGACTTTACACAGGTGAACACCAATATAACACAACTTGATGTACATATATATATATATATATATATATATATACACGCACATACACATATATACATCTATATCTACATGATGTTTATAATTATCTATATCTATATGGTGTATATCTATATCTAAATATAAGATGTATATGTATGTGTGTGTTTGTGTATGATGTATATAAAACACCTGTGTTCCAGATTATATACTTAGTACTGGGGATACAAAGATGTCTTATGAAACATAGCTTTGTCCTTGAATATCTCATGTGTCAGTAAGATCTGTCCTGAACTGTTAATCCAACCTCTGATAAATAATGATGAAGTCTCAGGACAATTCTACCTTAAGCTGTATTTGTAGCATTTGTGTTTGGAAACTCAGTCTCTTTGGTTTATTGGGAGATAGAAGGAAAATCTAATTTCTACCAAATCTTTCAGAATTCCCTTCTCAAATATCCTAATCAATTTCAGCGAATCTGTAAGTTTATGACCTTGTCAATCTCTTCTACCTCTGAAGGAACAATGGTCCTGTCCCCTTGTTTCATTTTTGTTTTCTGGTGTAGCAGAATGCACCATGACAAACAATTTTAATGAAGGGATGGCAAAAAAAATATCTCTTTGTTGTAGTTTTTATTAAAGTTTTTCTGTGATTGTTTGGTTATGTCTTCAGTTAATGGAGTATGCAGAAAATTAATATAATTTACTTCCCTTAGTTATTAATTCAACAGATATTTATCCAGCATTTAGTATGCGTTGGGCACTGGGCTAGTTACTGTGCTTTCAAAGTATCAAAGGACAGAGCCTCAGTGATTAATAAGCTAAGAGTCTATTTGAGGAGACAGAAAAATAAACAAATAATATGTGGCCTAATAAATCAATGATAGGACTATTTTCAAGGCACAAACGGAGAACAAAAGAGTTATGATGAACCCAACTGCTGGCTGAGAAGAGAAAAATGAGATTAGAAAAAGATCACATGTCCATAACTCAGATTTATGTTACTTTTTTCCTGCCATTGGTGTTGCTAAAATGAAAAGACAATGGCTGTATATTAGTATATTAAAAATCTCCATTATTGCAATGGTAAAAGCATTGTAACCTCCAGTCACCTGCTGGTCCTAGGACAGTCATTCTTTAAATCTCTGTATTGAGATTAGCATGCCTACCTCATCAGAAAACCTGACAATATCTACTTTAGATTACCAACCTGTGACTTTTGATAGAACTGATACTGCCTCCGATATTTTAAAGCCTATCTACTCTAGAATCTCATTTTACATTAAAGCAATTTAATGTGGCAGCATGAATATGTGATACTCTGAGGACTATCCCTGAGATGATCGTGAGTGGTCTTAAAATATTTTCTACCACCTCTTAAAGAGATATATTACCTTGGCATTTCAAAATAATAAGAAAACTTAAAAAAATACAATAGAAACAGCAGAACAGAAAATGCAGTTAATCAAATGGAAATAGTACCACCTAATTAAAAAATCTCTTTTAGTTCAAGCCTATCTAAAAAGTTACTAATGGAGCTAGAGAAGGCAAAATCATAAGTTAGAACAAGAAGAAACCTCATCATTAACTTTAGGAGGTGATTTTAAGTCCCTCGGATAAAGCGTTGCTGTAGTTTGAGTGGTAAGTCTAATCAGATGTGGGCTAAGTATTGCCTTATGTTCTGCTCCAACCAGGTAGCCATGTGACCCTGCGCAAGGCACGTGAATTCTGCAAAGTGAGGAGTTTTGATTTAAGTGAGGGTTTCATGAGCTCTGGAATTCTTAATCTGGCAATAAGGAGTTTCAGAAAATCCTGAACTCCCTAGAATTGTATGAAAATTTGTATTAACATGCATATGTGCATGTTTTTCAGGGAGAGAGTGACCAAATTACATTAGATTATTTCCGTTCCCCAAAAGATTAACAATCACTGAACGAGATGATCTCTAACATTGTCTTGAGTCTAAAACATTTTAAGGTTCTGTGATTTTTACAGTTTAATATTTTGGTCACATTATCTCAGGGCACAGAAAGTATTTGGAGTGAATTGGGACCCCTGAAACAACTGACCCTTTTGTAGCCCTGAGTTGTCATTTATTTGCAGGGTGGGGGCAGTATTCAGTATTTTGTTCTGTTTGCTCTAGGGGTTTGGAAAAGTGAACACAATAGCCACAAGCCCTCTACTCATTTCCACTGTGCTTATTTCACTATAGCTACGTGTATGTTCAAACATTATAGGCCAGTGTTGTTAGTACTCATCTGTAACAGAATTACAAAACTGCTGTACTGGTCCATTTTATGCTGCTCATGAAGACATACCTGAGACTGGAAAGAAAAAGATGTTTAATTGGACTTACAGTTCCATATGGCTGGGGAGGCCTCAGAATCATGGCAGGAGGGGAAAGGCACTTCTTACATCATGGCAGCAAGAGAAAATGAGGAAGAAGCAAAAGCGGAAATCTCAGATAAACCCATGAGATCTCGTGAGACTTATTCACTATCACAAGAATAGCACAGGAAAGACTGGCTTCCATGATTCAATTACCTCCCCCTGAGTCCCTCCCACAACATGTGGGAATTCTGGGAGATATAATTCCAGTTGAGATTTGAATGGGGACACAGCCAAACCATATCAACTCCGAGGGCAATTCTACTTTTTCATTACTGTTGTTTTATATATAAACACTGAGATTCTTGCATTTACATATTCAACACAAGTTCACATGCCTCAGTTTTTCAAAAGGCTGCCTCACTTAAGAATGGTAAACACCAGTAATGCGATTATAGTAGAACCCATTACTGCTACTGAATATATACCCAAAGGATTGTAAATCATTCTACTATAAAGACACATGCACACATATGTTTATTGCAGCACTATTCACAATACCAAAGACTTAGAACCATCAATGATAGACTGGATGAAGAAAATGTTGCAAATATACACCAAGGAATACTATGCAGCCATAAAAAAGGATGAGTTCACGTCCTTTGCAGGGACATGGATGAAGCTGGAAACCATCATTTTCAGCAAACTAACATAAGAACAGAAAACCAAACACCACACGTTCTCACTCACTCATAAGTGGGAATTGAGGAGTTGAACAATGAGAACACATGGACACAGGGAGGGGAACATCACACATCAGGGCCTGTGGTGGGGTGAAGGGCTAGGGGAGGAATAGCGTTAGGAGAATTACCTAATGTAGATGACGGGTTGATGGGTGCAGCAAACCACCATGGCACATGCATACCCATGTAACAAACCTGCATGTTCTGCACATATATCCCAGAACTTAAAGTATAATGATAATTTGAAAAAAAAAAAAACACACACACAATTTAAGCCAAAGGGGGGAATAAATGATTCATAATAGGTGTTTCTTGTTTTCCACACTCCACAGGCATGCCTAACTCTCAGACTCACAAGCATCCTGATTTCAAAAGGAGTCTCTGGGCTACTTCAGCATAACGCCCTAGTCCATAACAGCACAGAATAGGGCCATGACTTTTGAAATTAGATATATCCGCAGTCCTCCACTCTGTCCATGGATTTCAAAGAGACTTCTGGGCAGGTCTGCATGTATTGCAGGGACTGGAAGCAGGGAGAGGCAGGGGAAGGACTTTGAACCCCTGGGTTGTAGCACATATGTGAGGGTGTGTATGAGACAGAAGAAAGAACAGGGAAGAGAATGTGATTTTATATGAATTCTGCATTAAAGAAAAATGATCTTGGCTGCACTTGGTTAATTTCTCTTTAATTGCTTTTGGTCTCCTAGACACGGTACATGATTCCTCTCATAGCCTCTTGTGATTTTGCAAACTTCTCTGTTGTGCAAAATCTCTCATTCACTCGAAATGTTTGGGTTTAAATCCATTTAAATAGCTGTCTCCTGTTGCCTCTTCCACTGTGCTTGACTGGGCTCCTGTTCTTCTTAGCAGCATTTCCTCACGCAAATACGTTCTACCTAGGTGACATCATTTTCTCTGCCCCCCTCTCAAATGGCAGGCTGTGATTTGTAATGGAAAGGGTAGGGATTTTAAAGTACTTTTAAAAAGCTCTTGTTTGGAAAGCTAACTTGTCCATTTTTAAGCTTTGTGATCTTCACAATATTTTTTAACTACTCTGAGTTCATGGTAGTAAAACTCCGAGGCAGAGTTTATATACAAATTATGGATCTCAATTTTCAATATATCTGCTTTTCTCATAGAGTAGCAATGGGGGCCATCTTTGTACCCCTGTATCTAACACAAGACCTGGAACCCAACAGGCTGTGAGTGAACGTTTGCTGACTGAGCGAATAAGCCTTAATTTTTTTTAAGCTAGGAATAATCATACCTGTGAGGTTATTGTGAGAAATAAATGAAATCATTCTTTCTTTCAGAAAATATTAATTGCTGCATATAAATCACCAATCAGTAGGCCTAGGACACAGTGGACATGCAATACATATTTATTCTCTTTTTCCTTTCTTTCTGCTTTTCAGGACTCACTATAGGAGGGTACTGGATGCATCCTCTTCCTTCCCCGTGCCAATACTGGCCTATTAGACTGTCCCCCTCCTTCCCCCCGAGTGAAGTAAGCATATATCGTCTGTGGTCAACCACAAGCATGCAACTTACCTGGCACCTCAGCTGTCATGGATCAACGACCTGCTTTCATCCTTCCCTGTGTAGGACAGTTCCCCAGGTGGCCTTGGACTGATCCAGTTCTCCCCTCTTTCTCACTTGTAGTTCTCAAGAATAACTGTAGAATGTGCTGACAATACAGCACCCTGTGATAACAGAGGAGCTGGTTGGAACAGGCTCTGTTCCAGCCCCTCACATCAGAAAACAGGATGTCTTTCCATGCTTTAGACCAGGGTGTCCTGCTTTGTGAAAAACCCAGGGCAGGCTGCTTTGTGGGATGCCTCAGCTGTGGTGCAAGTGGAGCATGTACAGAACAGACCCCATCTATCCCAGGCAGCTTTCTTGAGCTGGGGAACTGTTCCCTGCTGCCTGTCAGTAATAAACCCACTTCTACATGGTGAAACTCAAACTTAAACATTCTTGGCTCTGTGTGGGTGATCTGTCTTATGGACTCAGACAAAGTGGTAACCACTGTCCAGTGACAGTCAACCAGCTTCACACCTGCTGCTGTTACAGCAACCCAACAGTGAGACTGGAGTCCAGAATCTTCAACTTGGAGTCAGGGCACCTTGGTTTGAGTTGGTTTCTGTAATTCTATGAAAATAACTTCTTTGGGACCAACTTTTACATTCCTTAAAACAAGGAGGTTGAATTAGTTGATTTCTCAGGTGCTTCCTCTTTTAAATTGTAGAACTAATCTAGTGCTTAATCGCATAAACTACCTTTGTAGTACTTGCTTTTATTACAAGTATTACTTCTTTACCTCAATGGAAAACTTTTTACAGGCAGAAATTCTGACACGTATTTCTATATCCCTCACATGCCCAGAATACTTTTAATAAAGTAAGAGCTCAAATTCTTTTTCATTCATTAGCAAAATGACTAAGAACTTTTCAGATTTGTGTAATACCATATAGGGCTTAAAAAATCAAAGATACTACATTCGATCAAAATTCAAACATTCCATTTGGGGCATTTAAAACATTATAATGTAACGTATTCCACTTCGTGACGTATTCCATATCTAATGCCACATAATCTTTGGAAGCAGGTGTAACGTATTCCACCTCTAAAAATATTTAGAGGTAGTGATATTATATTTATGTCATTTTATACCTAAAACCAAACATTTAGAGTCACATTTACTTCCCAGTGGGGAGTTGCACAGACACAAACTTGATCACCCTGGAATTCATTTTCTGAAAGACATATGCCTTTCTTATAAAGATCTATCAGTTTTCAAGCAACGAAGTTTCCACATGGTGAAACTGAAAGTTAAGCTCTGGGGAAAAGTATTGTGTAAAATCTGTAGAAGATAAACTGAAATAAAATAAAAGACAAAGAAAGCCCAACTTAAAGAAAGCCACCAGGAGTTACAATCTCCCCTGCAACAAAGTGTGATTTCAACTGGGCATCCTTGGGCAAAGTCGACATGTTTCAGCCTCCCTCTCACACTAGCAAATCCTGTAAGAATGCCTACAGGGTAAAAATAAAGCTGGCTGTGATGAACCTGGGCTTTGCAGAGACCAGGGTAGTGCCTATCAACTCAGTGACAATGCTTTCTGCCCAAGCACAATGAACTGTTCCGATTTTATGGCCTTCTGTTAGGTTGAAGCCTACAAAAAAAAAAAGCAAAGCATCTTGAAATGAGACTTTGTGTGGCTCACTCCAGTGCTGAGCTCCAGTGATCCGGAGCATCACTCTCAAAGTGGCGAAGGAAAATAAAGACAAGGGAAGTTGCAATAAAGAAACCTGAGTGCTTAGAGCATTCTGTCCAAGTTGTTTTCCACTAAAGGTAACATTTGATACCATTCATCTTCGACTTCCTCTGTCTCCTCGGGGGCCCCTATTTCTACACCTGCTATCTTGGTCCAATTGTAGCTCTGACAGTGATTTATCAAACTCTTAGATCTTGTTTATCCTTTTTTTTTTTTTGCCATAGCTTGTTTTTCAAACATTAACTCTCTGAAATGTCCAGTATAACCTGCCTTTCCCAATAAGGTTTATGGTGCTCTAAGACTATGAACATAGATACTAAATCACTTAGTATTATGTAACATTAGTATCCATATAAAAGGTGTTATTTCATTCAGAAATGTTGTGGCAGCATCTTTAACCTCAAAGTATTTGTTCTCAGTAAATCTTCCCATTTTAGGTTTGTTCTCCCATAGTTGATTATATAAATGGCTATTCCAATTTAGTTATATTATTCACTATACAATAAATTTGACTTGCTGACATTTATATAATTATTTTCTGGTTATTTAACTCACAAGTACTATCTTCCTCCTAACACATTTATTGCTGAAATACTGTTTTGATTCGCTTCTCATATATTCAGTCCTATCACTTTGTGCAAATGTTCTCTCTTCTCATCTCTTTCCCCTATTTGTATTCAGTAGGCTATAAGTTACTGTTGGCTTTTGAAAGGTTCTATTTGTCCACCCTAAATTGTCACTCAACATTAATTAAAAGAATAAAATGAAACAATTTAGAAAGGAATGGGTGAGGTGATGATGACCAACTAATTTTAACACGAAGATGCCATAAAAAGAATTTTAAACAAAAATCTTAAAACGACATTGAAACCAAAAAAATGAGTGTGCTATATATTGTGAACAACATAAAAGGCCACATAATCTTTGGAAGCAGATCACTTTCATTTCTAGCTTCTATGAGTTGAAACCTCCTTCGAATTCCTGTTCTCTGTGTCTCTATTATTATCAAATAGTGCTCCCCTACACTGAGGAAGCTCTTTCCTTTCTGAGTACTGAGAGCTGGTGAGCATATTCTTCACTATACTCTAGGTCTTCATTTTAGTGGGAATGGTAGGTTTGCTGATTGGTTCTAGTGAACAGGTGTAACGTGTCTAAGTCAATGGACGACGCGACGCTTTTCGGAAGGTAACACCTTAATGGGAGCTCAACATTAATGATCTAAAAATATGTTTCATCCTCTGGCCTTCAAAATAGTTTCACTTTTGACTTGTCTAGTTTGACCAAAGCCTTGTTATTTTTCCAGTTCCCATTGTGAAAATAATAACAATAATTTATTCAACACATTATTTATTGAGCATCTTTTATAGGTGCCAGGGATACATCAATGAAAAAAGCAGACAAAAGTCCCTGGTCTTAAGGATCTTACATTCTAGAGAAAAAGGGACAATGTACAATAGGTAATTATTTTCCATAAAGTATAACGATGCGATGATAACAAATATTTATTGAGCAACTTACCATAAAATTACAGTGAATTATTTATATGCATTACATTGTTTAATCCTCACACATATAGAGAAAACTGCAAGGTGTGAACTGTTATTCTCATTTTACAGATGAAGAAACTCTGATTAGAGAGGTTTAAATAACTTGACCAAGACATGGGACACGTGAGCGTCATGGCGAGGGACTGAACCTTGATTGCTCTGACTTCAACTCCTGAGATTCTAACGATGGTCCTCCACCGCTGCTCAGATCAAGGTTAATGACATCTTCATTTCTACATTTCTCTGACATGTTGTATTGACTCTTCTTCATTTTGCTGTTAGCATTCCAGTATAAGCTTTCTGGTTGCTTCCTCACTGCATGCTGATATGATTTGGCTGTATCTTCACCCACATCTCATTTTGTATTGTAGCTCCCATAATTCCCACGTGTTGTAGGAGGGACCCAGTGGGAGATAACTGAATCATTGGGGAGGATTCCCCCATACTGTTCTCGTGGTAGTGGGTAAGTCTCCTGAGACCTGATAGTTTTATAAGGGGAAATCCCTTTTGCTTGGATCTCATTTTTTCTCTTGTCTCCCGCCATGTGAGATGTGCCTTTTGCCTTCCACCATGATTATGAGGCCTCCCCAGCCACGTGGAACTGTGAGTCCATTAAACCTCTTTTTCGTTATAAATTACACAGTCTCGGGTATGTCTTTATCAGCAGCATGAAAATGGACTAATACACATGCATTTCTAGCATCTCCTGCATCTGATGTAGTCACTTTATTACAATGAGAAGTGATATTCTCTTTGAGAATACAATGAGATAAATTTATAATTTCTGCATATTTCATTAGCTTTCCACTGTACACACATTTCTTTTGAAACCTTCATCTTGGCATTCAAAGGTCTCTTCAATGTCACATCAATCTACTTTTCCAATCTCATCTTTAAAAATCACCAATTCAGAATTTTCATTCAAGATTTACCATTTTCAGTCCTCTAACACAGAGCATGAAAACCCTAACTCTTGGGTCTGTTTTGCATAGATACAATTCCTTTATTTAAAACCTAGTTTACCACCGCTCCATAAGAACGTTTTTGACTATTCTGGTTCATGTTGACTTTTGCAGTCTCTGTTGTCCTGAAGTTTATCATGTAACTCATTTTATATTGTGATGTGTTTTGCAAGATGTCATTTTAAGAATACTAATTTCCAAAATTTTATGTCAGGAATAATAATTCCCAAAACTTTGTAAAATTTTAGGCACAACATGCATGTATGCAAGGCCAGCCTGAATAGCAGACAGCCGTAGGGTTGCCCTCTTTGCTCATCAGCACAACCACTCTTCAAATATCTTGACAGTGCTCCCTTCTTACCTCTCTACCTCCATTTTCTTTTAAATATGTGATAATTTATGCTTCCACTTCATCTCTGCCTTACTTTCCCTTGGATCCGCCTACCTAACGTTCTCATTTCTCATCTCGCTCCAGCACTGGTCCAAGGAAGGTGTGCTCTGGCAGTGCAGGTGGTGATAAGGGATAACGGAGGGGAAAATCCAAGCCTTTATCGAGCTCTTCCTTATCCTACACCTCTGTCACTGATTCTTTATTTCCAGGAATTATTCCGGCTTTGCCCTGTCTGCTTTGCCTCTTTCTCCTGACACAACACTCAATAATGCACTCTGGTCTACCACACCAAACTTGACAGTACTCTAGCCCAAATTTTACCTTTTTTTTTTTTTTTTTTTTTTTTTTTTTGCCGTTTAAGAGAACAGTGAAAATTTATCTTTAAGAATCCATGTGTAACCTCGTTTTTATCTACTGTGTCAATGGAGAGATCAACATTTCTTTCGGTATTGATTGAAATGGTGAGATGGAAAGGTGATAACGTGTACTAAATGCTAACAATACGCCAGGCAATATTTTAGGCATTGTATAGGTATTGGCTCGATAATCACTATAATCTGAGGAGATGGGTGTTGTAGTTACTTGTATTGTACAGATGTAGAACCTGAGGCATAGAATTAAGAAACTTGTCCCAAATTATACAAATATTAAGCAACAGGATAAAATATCAGACGATCTGGCCCCAAAGCCAGTTCTCCGATCCTCTGTGTTATGGCTTTATGTGCTACAACTTCCAACAGAAAGGAAGGAAGCACAAGTTCCCTAGAACTTTATGAGTAAAGAAATGATGTATCTAGGAGGCTGTCTAGGATAAGCAGTAACCCCAGGTGTTTATACAACATTTTACCCTTTGACTCTCTGAGGAGTTCATCTTTGCTCTTCACCCTGCTGGAGTCCTTGCCTCAGGCCAGAAGAGTTATCATCAGAGCCACGCAGGAGACAGTTAGCCCTTCTGTGTTGAAAAAATTGCTCTCTAGCCAGGCATGGTGGCTCATGCTTGCAATTCCACACTTTGGGAGAATGAGGCAGGAGGATCGTTTGAGGCCAGGAGTTTGAGACCAGCCTGAACAACAAAGACAGACTAGGTCACTACAAAAAAAAAAAATGTTAAAAAATTACCTGGGCATGGTGACACATACCTGTAGTCCCAGCTACTCAGGAGGCTGAAGTGGGAGAACTGCTTAAGCCCAGGACTTTGAGGATGCAGTGAGCTATGATCATGCCACTACACTTCAGACTGGGAGACAGAGCAAGACCCTGACTCTAAAAAAATTCTTTAAATGCCCCCATGTGTTACCCATGTTAGATTGTGTTTCTAGGACTCTTTGTCTACACACTTTATTTCAGGTAATTTACGGACCAACAAAATTTATTGTTTTGTTACAAGTCAGTGGGAAATTCCTTTGCATTCTAACCAAATGTTTAAAAGATAAAGTCAGCAATGCCTATGTTTCTTCCATCACATTACATAACTCTAAACATAGCAGATGTTGGGAGAAACTTGCTGGGTGCCTACTGGATTCGACTGACAGATACCTCGTGATTTAAGTTCACTTTCCTCTGCCCCCTTACCTCAACCACCATTTCACAAACAGATGCCACCACTTACTAAGTAGTCAAGAGGGAGGCTGCTCTCACCATCCCAAGAAAAATGAACAATAAATATGTGTATTTGAGATTCTGAATTCTTCCTTAAGCTGCTGCACAGAAAACACTCCTTACTGGTGAGGTTTCATTCAAGCTGATGTATTCCAGTCTCCTTTCATTTAGTGCCTAAGACTTTCATTTAGTGTCCAAGACTGAATGAGACTGCCCTGTTGGGCAGGAGAAGTGGAAGAACAACAACAGAACAAGTAAAAACCAGCCTTCTCTTTGCACAACTCTAATTGTTCGGCCCTTTATTTTAGGATGTAAAAGTATAAATTTACTTAAACTATTTTCATGACCTTTTGCTCAAGTAGTTAACAAACGATTAAATAGTAATCTAAAAACAAATGTTTTAGTAAGAAAATAAAAAGATGCAATGAAGGACCTTGAAACAAACAATAAGGTAGCCATTCCTGTTTTTTAGAAAGGAAAAACAAAACACTTTTATTCATACACATTCATAACTGCCTAAATGATTACTTTTTCATAAATGTAACAGTGAGAATGAGAAAACATCAAATTACTTTTCCTGAAACTTGCATAAGCAAAAGAAAAGATGTATAATGCAGTTCTACTCCTGAGCAAAATGTCCCTCATTAATAGAGTAATAGATCGTATTAATTCTACTTTTATAAAGAGAAATGGACATGGACAAATTTAGCACAAATTTTCCTAATGAATAAAAAAGGCAAATAGTAGTATACATAGTCATATTTTTCCATTTATTGCTACACATGATCTTCATTTCAAGTAATCACACCATTATAATTGTGTAAGGATTGCACAAATATCACCTTAGAATAAATGAGATGGTTTTAAACGTCAACATGGGAACAGCTTGCGCACTCCCCTTCTTGGTTGTAAGGTCTAATACAAATTTTTGTGGCATTTTTAGATAGATCAGAAGAAAATTTAATCTGGTATTTACACTGACCTTACATTGACTCTCTACATAGTCTGCATTCACGGGGTGGAAAGATGAATTTGTGATGTAAAAGTCCCTGCCTGCTCCTCCTGCCTTGGTCCAAGAGAGAAAAGATGTACCCAACACTCTCATCCTTGGTTCTTGGATCCCACTGAATGGAACTGGCTCAAAGAAATCCTTCCGATTTAGCTTAAAATATAAATTATTTGAAAAGGACTGATGCTATTGAACCGCTTCAGTTTCCCTAACGTTATATGAGAACCCAAAGACAAGAATTGTTCAGCAGGGACCACAGATTGATTTATGTGCAAGATTTATTTTCCTGCTTTGACTTGAAGAGGACTTCCAAGCAGGCTGCAAGCCAGAGAACAACCAGGTGCGAGAGAAGCTCACATTCTTTTACTTGACAGACTACTTCATCAGTAAACATAGGAAACAATTGTTCCTACCAAATCTCCTTGAATCTGAATAAGCTGCTTCATGGATCAAAATGTCCCTTTCCTCTGTCTCTCTGAATCCCAGACTTTTAACCTTTGAATTTGCTTTGTGAGCTTTGAATCTGTGGTTTCCACCTAAGTTGGTGATTAAAACAAAAGAATACCAACATTCCCCTCATGATAAACTAAAAATCATTATTAAGAAAGAAAAAATTAAAGGATTATTCAAAACGACTTGCAAATGTATTTGCCATTAGCAGTTCTATTATTTTTCATAACTGCCTTAAGTATGGATTTGTAGAGTTTTTGCTGTAACGAGGGAGTGTAATACAGTGGAAAGAAAATACTTTGAAATCTAACATTTTCTGGGTTCTGTTGTTTAGTAGCTACCAATAGCTATATAGTCTTGAACAAGGTGCTTAATCTTTCCAATCCTTATCTAAATCACCTGAAAGCATATAGCAACACATTGCTCCTCATTAGACAACAAAGGTATATTGGCTTCAGACACTCAAGGTGGTGTTGATTTTTATATACTCACGCATGGTCCTTTGGTTTTATTATGACAGATGTGTGCCACTGGAATCAAGTCTATTCAGCAGAGATTTTCTCTCTTTTTTTTTTAGAAGAGTACATAGAAACTTAGAAGGCTGGTGATGGGATTGACAAAGGACAATTTATTTATCATCAGACTTTACAGATTCACTGCTGTCTTGGTGTCTTCACACGTGGGTTTCACTGCTGCTTTGGAGAAAATATGGTGCCAAGGTCCTGGGAAGAGGCTTTCAGTCAGACTTCCCTGCTTTCAATTCTAGTTATGCCCTTGCCATTTATTTAATCTCTGTCACTTTCAAATTATTTTTGTGCTTAAATGATGCTTTTCTCTCTGTAGCATTGTGAGAGATAAAAGCGCATTTACATGGACACCGTGGGGTTTAAAACTGATGATGTATATGCAGTGTTTGTTTCTGTCACACTTCTCCTTTTCCTTTCCAGTTTTCTGATGGCCAGGAGAAAGCTGTATCTGTGATGAAAGTCACTGCATTGAAAAATCTCCCTTCTGGCTACAACTGGCACATTTCAGCATGTTCTGGGCCATGCCCTCAGCAGATATTCTGAGACCTCCCAACTGAGCGGCTTTGTGTAAACCTGCCCTGCTCACTGATCATTAGAACACCTAATAAAATCCAGAAGGCTGGAGGAATTAGCCAGTCATAGCATTTCTTGGTCTAAGAATTTTGGGGGAAACTGCAGCAATTATCTCAAAAACCCCCAGAGATCTAAACACTGTTCCTAAAATATGGTAACTTACAATTTATTATATCTAGAATATCTTTGTAGTAATTTGGCTTTCAGAAAGGGCACTCACATTAGAAGGCAGCTAGAATTAGATGCCAAAAACAAAATAACAAAACAGGATTTTACGAAGGTAGAATTTTCTCACATGTCCTCACCCCTAACCCAGGAGGAAGAAGCGCCTTTACCCTGCGTATTCCACGTATCAACAGGGCCCTGCTCAGTGTGTGCTACTCGTACCACGCACTGGTTTTGTTTGCGTGCCTGCTACTTGCAAGCTGCTTGACGTCACTGCCATATTCACTTCTGTATTCCCACAGCCTAGCATATAAACAGTTTTTACAGACCAGGTATGGTGGCTCACATCTGTCCTTCCAACACCTTGGGAGACTGAGGAAGGACTATCACTTGAGGCCAGGAGTTCAAAACCAGCCCTGGCAATCTAACGAGACTCCATCTCTACAAAAAAAAAAAAAAAAAAAAAAAAAAAATTAAAAAAAAAATAAGTTTTTACAACAAAATGAATGGATGGATAACCATAAAGGCTGCAAATTTGAAAGGCATTATTTAGGCCATTCTTGCTACCATTTAGGACATTGATACCAGTGTATTAAAAGTCAAGAAGACAGAAAGTATACTGTTTCAAATAGTACTTCTCAGGACAACAAAGTTTTCTCTTTCAGACTCTTTCAGAAACTAAAATTATATGACATGGGTATTTCTGGGTTTCACTTCATTTCTCCCTGGGTGGTCTTATTAACTGAAGAGTGATCAGGAATCAGTTTTGCTTTCTCTGTCATTGGCCCTTATCTGCTGTCTCCTGTGTTCCTCTCCCTGCTCACATCCAACATGAAGACTTGCCCGTAACTGACATCCTTGTCAAGACTCTTTGTCAATCATTTTACTCCTTTCTGTGGGTAAAACTCAGACCTCTTTGCAAGAATAGATTTTTGTCCCCAAGGGTTCTTTTGTGTAAGAACTCAGGGTTGTTAGTTACTGGCAAAGTGAACATATCTCACAAAACAAGTGTTTTTATTTTTTATTTTTTTGCTTGTTTGAGACAAACAGCCTAAAGTGAGATTTAATAAAGAATATTTTCTTTGTTAGTTTAGTTTGGACCCAGTTCTTAAGAAAACAAACAAACAAAAACAAAAAACAACTATCCTGCATCTCCCCTGCCCTCGTGCCTCCCCTTCCATTATCACATAGCAAAGTATTTGATTTTCATCCTGTTTCATCAAAACCCTTGCACTTGATCACACGAGGTATTCATAGGAGTCAACTCCTGGCTTAATTATTTTGATTCACCGTGTTAGAAAGGGAAGTTAGAGTAGGCGTAGGGGCTGAGCACATTAGAAGGTACAGAGGCGGAGCATATTTCAAGAATCCCCCCTCCCACAATAATGATAGGCTTTTTCAAGCAGTGGGATTTGAGCCTTTTACAAATTAACATTGTCCATTTATTTAACAACTATCATAGTAAATCCAAATAATATGCCTAAAATGTGCTGCTTTGACTTTTGTTAATCATGGAAAATTGTTCTCTTATTAAATTAGATCTCTTTTGCTCCTCCCCTGCTCTTCAGCACTCATATTTCAATTACTTCAATCATTATTTTGTACAGAAATAGAATCTACTCATCAAAAGCTGGACTTAACTTATTTGTGACTCTCACTCATTCTTTTTTTTTTTTTTTTGAGACAGAGTCTCGCTCTGTCGCCCAGGCTGGAGTGCAGTGGCGCAATCTCAGCTCACTGCAAGCTCCGCCTCCCGGGTTCACGCCATTCTCCTGCCTCAGCCTCCTGAGTAGCTGGGGCTACAGGCGCCCGCCACCGCGCCTAATTTTTTTTTTTTGTATTTTTAGTAGAGACGGGGTTTCACTGTGTTAGCCAGGATGGTCTCGATCTTCTGACCTCGTGATCCGCCCGCCTCGGCCTTCCAAAGTGCTGGGATTACAGGCGTGAGCCACCGCGCCCGGCCTACTCTCACTCATTACTTTTATAAGGGCACAGATGACACCCTATTTCAAGAGCTGTTTGATTTTTATGAAAATGATTAATTCATATTTAATCAAGTTAGTATATTAGTATTTTAAAACTATGAAATTGTCTACTGTCAGATTAGAGTGAACTAGCTGTTCAAACAAACAGCTCCCAAAACTTTAGTGTGTTAGGCACGAGGTTTATTTCTAGTTCACATACAACTGAACATAAGCAAGCAAAATCCAAAAGGGAAAAAATGTAAAGATCTTTTAGGCTACAATATATTTGACCAGGAAAGAAAGCTTGTCTTCTATTCAACATTTGGTTAATAGTTATTTACATAGTTTTTTTTTTTGCTATAGTAGAATAAATAATCAGGCTCAACCTGAATAATAAAAACTTACTAATGTCTTACAAATACTAGATCAAGATGAAAATTATACCTATCCTTACATATTATTCCACCTTCTACTTTATTATCAGAAGAGAATTAATTGGTAGCTAGTGTTCTCCTCTTACAGACAAATATAGCATCTATTTTTCATGCTTCTTTCTTGAGGACATAACTTAAAATTTGAAACTGAACATTTGGTCTGTGCAAACTTTATTTGTAGAAATATTTCCATGGTCAAAATGAAATTTTCAACTTTAAGAAGCTGAGGCAGGAAGATCACTTAAGCCCAGGAGTTTGAGACCAGCCTGGGCAACATAGTGAGACCCTATGTCTACAAAAAAACGTAAAAAACAGTTTGGGTGGTGGCATGTGCCTGCATTCCCAGCTACTAAGGAGGCTGAGATGGGAGGATTGCTTGAGCCCAGGAGATCAATTCTGCAGTGAGCCATGATCACACTGCTGTACTCCAGAGAGGGTGACAGAGAAAACCTTGTCTCCAATTAAGTGAATAAATAAATTTTTTGTATTTACTGTCAGAGTAGATGAAAATCTCACATTTCTATTCTCTCAAATTTAAGGATGAGAATGTGTCTTATCTGGAAGGCTATTTAGTATAGTCAATGAGTTTTTCTTGGCAATGTATCGGTTGACAATTTTTCCACTCAAATGGTAACAGTAAGGGGACGGGATGTTGGCAGAAGAAATATACTATTACAAATGTGCTCACAGAATAAAATACAGTTGTGAAAACGTGGATGGAAAAACAGTGACTGCCTATTACTGATCTTTATACTCAAAGCAGAAACCACTGTGTTGATAGAAATTTGGAATGGGCTTCAATTTTCTATTTCAAAGGATCCCATGGTTGGGTTTAAGTTTACCAGGCTATTTATTTTCTGTTTGTCTCATCTGCTCCTTTTCTCATTTATTCTTCCTTTCCTAACTTCTTGTAGATTAAACAAGTATTTTATAGTATTCTTGGATTTTTTTCTTAGCCATTCCTCTTTGTTTCTGTTTTACATTTTTGATAGTTTTAGTGCTTAAAGTATGCCTCCTCAATTTATTATAATCCACTGTAAAAACTTTACCACAGGCTGGGCGCAGTGGCTCTTGCCTATAATCCCAGCACTTTGGGAGGCTGAGGTGGGCAGATCCTTGAGGTCAGGAGTTTGAGACCAGCCTCTCCAACGTGGTGAAACCCCGTCTGTACTAAAAATACAAAAATTAGCCAGGCATGTTGGTGGGCGCCTGTAATCTCAGCTACTCATGAGGCTGAGGCAGGAGAATCGCTTGAACCTGGGGGGCAGAGGTTGCAGTGAGCTAGATGGCGCCACTGCACTCTGGCCTGGGCGACAGAGCAAGACTCCGTCTCAAAAAACAAAACAAAACAAAAAAACACTTTACCACAGTATAATTTTATTTACTCCTTTTTTGTTTGTCCTATTTAGTATTTAATTTCAATCTATAGTATAAACCTTGTTATTATTTTTTCCTTCAAACAGTTAATAATAGTCTTTTAAAGAAGCATACACACACACACATTTTACATTTATCAACATATTTGCGACTTCTGGTGCTCTTCATTTCTTCCTGAAGATACAGACTTCCATCATCATTTATCTTTAGCCTGAAGAGTTTTCTTTATTATTATGCGAGAAATTCTTCTGTCACAAATTCTGTCAGCTTTTGTTTTATTTCAGAAGTTTTTGTTTAGTTTCAAATAATAATTTTGCTGGACATAGAAATCTAAGTTAATAGTTTTTTTAGCACATTAAAAATGGTGCCTTATTGTGTTTTTTGGTTTCTATTTTTTTTATGAGAATTAAGAAGTCAGCTTTTATTTTTAATATTTTCACTTGAATTTAGCAATGTGACTTTATTCTCTGGCTGCTTTTAACATTTTCTCTTAACTTTTAAAATTTTTTGTTTCAACAGGTTGACTCTGATATACCTAGATATGATTTTCATTGTATTTGTCCTGCATCAAGTTCACTGGACTTTTGGAATCTGTAGATTGATGCCAGTATTAACTTTGTAAAAAAACAAACAACAACAACAAAAAAAACTCAATCATTGCCTTTTGTCTATTCCTTTTGTTCCATTCTTTATCTCTTCTCCTAGGATTCCCATGTTAATCTACATATATTATCCCACGGGTCTCTGATGCTCTGTTCTATTCATTATTTTTTCTCTCTTGTTTAGATAGTTTCAATTCCCTGATCCTTTCTTTTACTATGTTTAATCTCCTCCTACAGAAGGCTGATTAACTTTATTTAATTTCAATAAACTTTATATTTCAAAAATTGAAATTTTCAGTTCTATTATCATTTAGTTCTTTATAAATGTCCTTTTTCCTGAACAATTCCACAACTACTGATCATTTTATGTATCTTTTCTTCTAAACTTATTAATGTATTTTGATAGTGTTTTTAAAGCCCTAGTTTGGGACTTTGGGATGTAAGCACCACTATATCCCCCTCTGCCTCTTAGCTCCCTCCCTAGTCAGTCATGGTTTATTTAACAAAATATGCTCTGTGGGAGATTTGCAAAGTTGGGATGATGAATTTTGCATTTGGGGATATTTCAGATTTTAATTCCTCCTGATAAACCACATGTTCATTAAAAATACAATTGTGTTATCTTTGTGCTAACAAAGCCTTCCTGCCTTTGACAAGATTGCTTTTCTGCCTTCCCATAAACAAACAAGGCTGTGGCCCCCACAAATGTGAGCAACTGCTTGTTCTCTTATTTAACAAGGCCTCATTCCTCTCTGAAATTTAGTTCATTTTGAACTTCTTTTCATCTACAGCTTTTAGATAGCTTTAGCGGAAAACAACACGATTTAGTTTACCCAGTGTTTTCTTGTTACATAAAGAACAACCATGTTTCATTGCTTTCTACATTCTTACCGGAAATGGAACACAGTCATTAAGGTTTTCAAGACATTAAATCTCTTTGAACTTACTCTAAATTGTTTTCAAGATAAGCCTGTTAAAGGTCTATTTTTCAACCCTGCCTGAGAATTTTCAAAAATATCAGGAATAGCAAATATTCTTTCTTAAGATTGAGTCTGTACTTTTTCAGAAAGTTGGAAGCAGGTAGAGCCCTTCTGAATTTTTCAGAGATGAAGGAGCCTATATGTGGGCATGAGGCCTGTCCTTAAATCATGTAAAACCCTCCAAATTTTCACATTATCTCAAGAGATTGACAGACTTCAGGCAGTTTAATACACAGCCAAGAAAAACATTTTGTGTTCCTTTTCAAGACCCACGTAGGCAAAACTATTTCCATTGCATACTTAAGTTGGCTAAAACATTGGGAAGATAAAAGATTTTTTGGCAGTGAGTAACTATGGGATATTGTAGAATTGTTTCCTTCAGAACTCTTTCAAATTGATAGTGGGATGGTTTGATTTTTGAAAGATTAATATTGCCATTCTTCAGGTAATAAAATCTCAATTATTACTGCTTAGCTTCTCAGCAACCAGTTTCTATTTTTTTCTACCTGTTTCATTTGTTTTAATTTATTTTATCCTTTAAATATTCCATGGGGTAGGGTGGAGGTGAGGAAAGGTAGGGAATCTATTTAAAACAATATTTTATTTTTAGTGTGCTAATACAAATATTTCCCAAGATTAGACTATGTGAATGATTTTTGAAGACTTGATAAGTAAATTAAAATACAAATGAGTAGATACATTTTTCAGAGCCTCAAATGTAAGTAAATTTTTAAAAATGTAAGATACATTTTTAAAAGCCTCAAAAGTCAAACGTTATAAAAGTTCTTGTGGATAACATTATATTTGTTTTTTATTACTTAGTAGAAGAAATTAAATTGATTATAGCAGACAGAAGAAACTCATCACAAATACACCAGAAATGTATATGTGTGTTATCAAATTAACCAGTCCACAGACTACAAAATAATAAAGCAGCTGGAAGTAGATTAAGGAAAAAAGAACATCACCTAGAAATTACAGACTCCGAGAAAAATTCTTCAATGACATCTCTTCTGGATATAGTAAATGAATGACCTTTCATTGCCTTTCATTGGTGGGAGCTGTGTGTTTGCATTTGTATGTAGGAGAGGTGAATCACGATAAATGAGTTTGGAATCACATGTGTGAAAAGAAAAGCCTATCTGTTTTGAACATCTAAGAAGTAAACCATACAAGATAATATTTAGGATTGCCCATTCAGCTCACAATTCTCTGAAAATTATATCCCCTCCCCCCAACCTGAGGAGCAGGTACCAATAGATATGCTTGTGCTATCTAACTGATAATTTCTCAGATAATACTTTTTGTGACTGAAGTAGACACAAGGTGAATTAATCAGATCCTTTCAAAAGGAAGTTTGAATGGAGACGCATAGAAATTCAGAACAATGAATCATGTTAATAGCAGAACAATAAAGTGAACCTAGGTTTCTGCCCCTGAGATTCCAGACAGTATATCGTCAATAAAATATATTTTTGTTTGTTTAAGCTAGATTGATGTGGTTTTCTGTTATACAACCAAGAGAACCAAGCCAAAGATCCCCAGCTTAAAATCAGTTTGAAATCCTCTTGAGTATCTCTTCCATTTTTTAGACTAGTAAACTTAGACTTGAAGAGTTTTATGCAATTGCACAAAGTTACAAAACTATGTGAAGGGCAGATATCTGACTTGAAGCTTGTTATAATACCCATAATACATTTTCAAGTTAATATCTTTAGATGGTGACAGAAAAAATAAAGCACATTTGTTTTATGATAGGGCCTAAAAGTAATTGAGGCATTAAATGATTTAATGCCACCTGGAAAAGAAATTAACAGTGGTTAGACACTTATTATGTATTATATCCATGAAGCTCAAAGGTCCTCAAATAGATTCAAGCCAAAAAGGTCCTCTCTGGGGCACATTATAATCAAACTGTCAAAAGTCAGAGGCAAAGAATTGTAAAAGCAGCAAGAAAAAAACATCGGGTCATATATAAGGAAGCCCACATTAGACTACCAAAAGATTTCCCAGTAGGAATCTTGCAGGCCTAGAGAGAATGGGATGATATTTTCAAGGTGCTGAAAGAAAAAATATTCTAGCAAAGAATACTATGCCTAGCAAAGCTATTCTTCAGAAAGGAAGGAATGATAAAGTCCTGCTCATACAAGCGAAATCTGAGGGAATTCATCACCACTAGACTGGTCTTCCAAGAGATGTTTAAGAGGGCATTACAACTGGAAGTGAAAAGATAATCACTATCATGCTAACATATGAAAGTATAAAACTTGCTAGTAGAGAAAAATTCATAATGAAACTCAGGATGCTCCAGTACTGTAATGGTGCAACTTATATCTTTCAAATCTCTAGTATGAAAGTTAAAAGTCAAAATGTCAAAAATAACACAGCTATAATTAGATAGTTAAGGAATACATAATATACAAAGACGTAAATTAAGGCAGAAGAATATAAATTGTGAGGCAAAGGAAGGAAAATAGTCCAGAGTACCTTTACAGGAGCACAGCTAAATTGTTATTGGCCTAAAATATTAAAATAGTCTATTATAACTACAACTTTTTTATTATTATTTTGAGATGGAGTCTTGTTCTGTCACCCAGGCTGGAGTGCAGTGGTGCAATCTCAGCTCACTGCAAACTCCACCTCCTGGATTCAAACGATTCTCCTGCCTCAGCCTCCAGAGTAGCTGGGACTACTGGTGCATGCCACTATTCCTGGCTGATGTTGGCCAGGCTGGTCTTGAGCTCCTGACCTCGGGTGATCCGCCCACCTTGGCTTTCCAAAGTGCTCGGATTACAGGCATGAGCCATTGCACCTGGCTATTATAACTGCAAGATTCTTTATGTTAGCCCCACGGTAACCACAAGAAATAAACTGCAGCAGACACACAAAAAGAAAGAGAAAGGAGTCAAAACTTAGTACCACAGAAAATCATCAAACCACAAAGGTAAACAACAAGAGAGGAAGAAAGGAACAAAGAGTCCACCAAACAGTCAGAAAATGACTAATAAAGTGGCAGGAATAATAACCTTGAATGTAAATGTATTAAATTATCAAATTAAAAGCTACAGAATGGCTGAATGGATAGAAACAAAAACAAGACCTAACTAAATGCTATCTACAAGAGACTCATTTCACCTATAAGAACACATATAAACTTAAAATGAAGAAATGGTAAAAGATAGTCCATGCTAATGGAAACAAAAAATGAGCAGGAGTAGCTATGCTTATATCCGCAAAAACGGATTTTAAGTCAAAAACTGTAAAAAGAGATAAAAAGGGTCATTAATTATGAAAGCATTTATTCAGCATGAGAATGCAACAATTGTAAATATATATGCACCCAACACTGAAGCACTCAAATATATAAAGCAAATAGCAGTAGATCTAAAGGGAGAGATAGAGTCCAATACAACAATACTCCTAAATAACCAATGGGTTAATGCAGAAATTAAAAGGAAAATTTTAAAATTTCAGACTTGATCCAGCAATCCCACTACTGGGTATCTACATAGAGGGAAAGAAGTTATTATATGAAAAAGATACCTGCACATGCATGTTTGTAGCAGCACAATTTGCAACTGCAAAAATGTGGAACCAACTCAAATGCCCATCAATCAACAAGTGAATAAAGACACTGTGGTATATCTGTATACAATAGAATACTACTCAGCCATAAAAAGGAATGAATTAATGACATTCACAGCAACCTGGATGAGATTGCAGACTATTATTCTAAGTGAGATTAACTCAGGAATGGAAAACCAAACATCATATGTTCTCATTCATAAGTGGGAGTTAAGCTATGAGAACGCAAAGGCATAAGAATGACACAATGGACTTAGGGAACCCAGGGGAAAGGGTGGGAAGGGGCTGAGGGATAAAAGACTGTAAATAGGTTACAGTGTAAACTGCTTGGGTGACTAGTGCACCACAGTCTCACAAATCACCACTAGAGAACTTACTCATGTAACCAAACTCCCCCTGTTCCCCAATAACCTATGGAAATAAAAAATTTAAAATAAATAGGAATAAAAAAAGAAATGAAAATGGAAGCTCAACATACTAAAACCTATGGAATATAGTAAAATAATTTCTAAGAGAGGAGTATATAGAAATAAATTACTATATCAAAAAGGTAGAATGATCTCAAACAGCATAATGTGAGATCCAAGACTATGAAACTACTAGAAGTTAAAATAGAGGAAATGCTTCATGACACTGGACTGGGCAACATATTTTTGGACAAGACCTCAAAGGCAAAGATGACAAAAGCAAAGATTGACAAGTGGGATTACATAAAATGAAAAAGCTCCTGTACACCAAAGGAAATAATTAACAGTGAAGACACAATTTAAAGAGTGGCAAAAATATTTGCAAACTATTTAACGGATTAGGGGTTAACAGCCAGAATATTTAAGGAACTCGAACAACTCCATAAAAATATCCGATTAAAAACAGGCAAAATATCTTAATAGGTATTTCTTAAGAGAATACATAAAAATGGCCAACAGGTATAAGGAAAAATATTCAACATCACTAATTATCAAGGAAGTGAAAATCAAAAACACAATGAGATATCATTTCACTTTAGCTAGAATGATTATTTCCAAAAGACAAAAGATAACTAGTGTTGGTAGGAATGTAAATTAGTACAGCTATTATGGAAAATAGTATGAAAGTTCTTCAAAAAACTTAAAGTAGAACTACCATATTATCCAGCAATTCTACTACCAGCTATACATCCAAAGGAAAGGAAATCTGTATGTTGTAGACATATGTGCACTTGCATGTTTAAGGCAACAGTATTGACAATAGCCAAGCTAAATGTCCAGCAATGAATAAAGAAAATGTGGTATATACACACAGTGGAATACTATTCAGCCATAAAAAAGAATAAAATTATATCATTTGTCCATGGATGTACCTGAAAGACATTATGTTAAGTGAAATAAGCCAGATACAGAAAAGCAAATAGTGTATGTTCTCACTCATATGTAAAATCTTAAAAAATTCATCTCATAGAAGCAGTGAATAGAAAAGTGGCTACCAAAGACTGGGGGAGATAAGGAGGAGGACGGGGATGAGGGAGGTTGGTCAATGGGTGCGAAGTCACAATTATAAAGGAAGTGTAAGTTCTGGTGTCTTATTGCATGGTAGGATGACTAAAGTAGATGATAAGGTACTATATATTTCAAAATAGCTAGAAGAGAGGATTTTGAATTTTCCCACCACAAAAAAATGACAAATGTTTTAGGTGATGGATATGCTAATTACCCAGATTTGAACATTACTCAATATATACATGTATCAAAACATGACATTATATCATCTAAATATGTACAATTATTATGTACCAATTAAAATTAAAAAAATAAATAAAAGCAGTAAGAACAGCCACAAACATTATGAAAATCAACCTTCTTAGAACTTTGGAAATTAATGAAAACTTTGTAGCTAGTCATAGAGCATTTATACAAGAAATGAAGTTGAATTGCAGTAAGAACATAGTGTTTTAACTTGGCGTGCTCCCATTCCTCTCTTCTCAGCTCGGACGCTGGGGAAACCACCAGCCTTGAAACAATGGTAGCTGTGAAACCAGGAGCCTGCTAGCCACTGACTGGGATGGAATAGGTTTGGAGCTCCCCAAAATGCCCATGTGCAAAAATTTGTTATAATTTTCCCTGTGGCAGCTCTCTGGAGAGGCTCAAACTCTTATTTGATCAGACTCAGAGCTCACTCTGTGTGAAAAGTTCTATCTTGAGAGCATTTGTTAGAAAAAGTAGCAATCGTTTATTTCATATTATAGCTGCGTGAGGCAGTGATATCAATTGCAGTTAACAAGAGACTGACCAAAAAGAGAAAACTCAGGAATGATATTTTCATAGGGACTTTGAGAAGCTCTGACTTATTGTTAAGAATATGTCAACACATACCCAAAACACACACACACACACACACACACAAATGCTGTGGGCCATGGCAAAGCCTGGAGGAAGGTTTACCAATTCGGAGCACTTAAGTAAATCTCTGTCTGATCATCATTAGCTAAATCCCAAGCTAACTGACCAGAGATTTCAGTAACTGTATACAAAAAATGTAGACTTTACAGACTTATTCCAGGAAAGTCACCAAGCAAATAAACAGCAGCAATGACAACAACAAAACATGATGGGGAGAAGTAGGATTCTGATTTCTGGTTATCTTATTTTAAATGTCCAGTTCTCTACAGAAAAATATGAGGCACACAAGGAAACAGAAAACTATGGCTCATAAATAGAAAGAAAATAGCAGTCAATATAACTTTTTTCTGAGCAACCAAAGACATTGCATTTACTACATAACGACTTTAACAGCTATTATTCAGAGCTAAACTTAACTGTGTTAACTTCAGAGAACCAAACAACTGTGATGGTTAATACTGAGTGTCAACTTGACTGGATTGAAGAATACAAAGTATTGATGCCAGGTGTGTCTGTGAGAGTGTGGCCAAAGGGGATTAACATTTGAGTCTCTGGTCTGGGAAAGACAGACCCACCCTTAATATGGGTGGGCACAATCTAATCAGCTGCCAGTGTGGCTAGAATGTAAGCAGGCATAAAAGTGTGAAAAGAGAGACTGGTCTAGCCTCCCAGCCTACATCTTTCTCCCATACTGGATGCTTCCTGCCCTTGAACATTGGACTCCAAGTTCTTCAGTTTTGCGACTCGGACTGGCTCTCCTTGCTCCTCAGCCTGCAAACGGCCTGTTGTGGGACTTTGTAATCATGTGAGTTAATATTTAATAGACTTCCCTTTATACATACCTATTCCATTAGTTCTGCCCCTCTAGAGAACCCTAATATGTTAACTGTGCCTAAAAATACGAGAATCATGTCCCACCAAGAAGAGCATAGCAATAAAGAGATAGAAATTATATATATTAATAAAAACAAAATATAAATTCTGGAGTTGAAAAGGATAATAACAGAAATTTTTAAAAATCACTAGAAGGTCTTATTATGGATTAAACTATGCCCTCCACCAAATTCATATGTTACAGTCCTTAACCCTGATATCTCAGAATACGACTTTCTTTGGAGACAGAGTCTTTACAAAGGTATCAAGTTAAACAAAGGTTATTCAGGTAAGCCTTAATCCAATAGGACTAATGTTTTTATAAAAAGTGGAAATGTAGAGACAGACACACACATAGACAACACATGGGAATATAAAAGCAGATATCAGGGTGGTATGTACATAAGCTAAGAAACACTCAAGATTGCTGATAAACCACTGGAAAAGAGAGGCATAGAACAGACTCTTTCTAACAGCCCTCAGAAAGAACTAACCACTCTGCCAACATCTTGATTTCAGACTCTTGGTCTCCAGAATTGTGAGACAATAAATATTTGTTGTCTAAGCCACCCAGTTTATGGTACTTTGTAATGGCAGTCCTAGGAAGCTCATACAGGGCTCAACAGCAGATCTGAGCAAGCCGAAGAAATATTCAGCTAACTTGAAGTTCAGCTGAAATTACCTAGTCTGAGAAACAATACGAAATAAAGAATAAAGAAAACATAAACAAGACTTTACAGTCCTGTGGGTCACCATCAAGCATACCAAAATATACACAATGGAGTTTAAAAAGGGAAGAACAGAAAGAAAAAGACGAAAAACAGTATTTCAAGAATTAATGGCCTCAAACTCCCTAAATTTAATAAGCAATCTTTATACATTAATGAAGCTCAATGAAATCTAAGGAGGAGAAACTCGAAGATATCTACAAAAAGATAGAAAGTCATGCTGTCCAAAGGCAAAGATATAATCATACAATCAGCAAGAGAAAAGTGACTCGCCATATAAAAGAGATCCTCAATAAGATTTATAACTGACCATCCATCAGAAACTATAGAGGCTAAAAGGAATTGGGAAAATATACTCAAAGAAACACTGGGAAATAATTGGGAAATATACTGAAAGAAAATGAATGTCAACTGACAGTTCTATATGCAGCAAAACTATGCTTCACAAATGGGAAAAATTAAGATTCCCAAATAAATGAAAGCTTAGAGAGTTTGTTCCCATTAGAACTGTGCCACAAGAAATATGAAGGGAGTCATTTAGGCTAAAAGGAAAGGACATTGGACAGTAACTCAAATTCACAAAAAGAAATAAAGAACACTGTTAAAGATGATTGCATATGTAAATATAAAAGTCAGTACAAATATATTTTGGTTTTTAATTCTTTTTTTCTCTTACATAATGTAATTGACAACTGCATGAAACAGTAATTATAAAATTGTGCTGATGAGCTTATAGTGTATAAAGATGTAATTTGACAATAATAACAAAAAGGGTGGAAAGAATTGAGCTATATAGAGGCAGTTTTCATGTGTTTTTAAAATTAAGTTGTAATTTGAACTAGATTGTTTTGAATTAAGATATTAAGATATTAATTGTAATTCCCAGAAAAAGGATTAAAAAAACTTCAAAACTTCTTGTAAAGTAAGAGAATTATAATAGTTTACTAAAAGTATTTATTTAACACAAAACATTAAGTACTTGAAGAATAGATGACAAAATAAGAAATATGTCATAGAAAAGAGCAACATAATAGATGGAAATCCTACTTTATTAGAAATTATATTAAGTATAAATAGACCAAATACTCCAATCCAAAGACAGAGATTAGCAGAATGGATAAAAATCATGAACTCACCGTCTACTGTCTGTAAGAGATACACTTTAGATTCAAATAAGTTGGATGCAACTTTTTATTTGTTCAATAAAAAGTTTAATATCCAAATAAAAGGATGCAAAATTTTATTTAAAAAAAAGAGCTTGAGTGGCTACGACAGCAGAAAAAAAATAGACTGTTGGACAAAATTTGTTCCTTGAGGCAATGAAGGATATTTTTCATGATAAGTCAATTCACCAGAATGATATTAAAAATGATAAATACATATGCCCTCCAAAACAGAACTCTAAAATACAAGTAAAAACTAACAGGATTGGTGGTCAAAACAGACAATTAGAGAATAATTATTAGTAACTTTTAATAACCCACTTTTGGTAATGGAAAGAACCAGGCAGAAGATCAACAATGAAAAAGAAGACTTAACACTATAAATCAACTAGCGATAATGACATCTATAAAACCCCACCAAAAAACAACAGAATATATATTCTTTTCAAAAGCACATGAAATATTTTGCAGGACAGAATATGTTATGCCATAAAGCAAGTCTCAGTGAATTTACAGTAATTGAAGTTATACAAAGAATGTTGTCTAAATACAATGGAATTAGAAATTAGTAACAAAAGAAAGTTTAGGAAATTCACCCATATATGAAAATCTAAAACCAGAAGTCTACATAACTAGTGTATCAAAGAAAAAATCATAGATAAATTAAAAAATCATTTGAGACTAATAAAAACAAAAACAAAAACAGAACATACCAAAAGTAATGGGATCCAGCAAAACAATGCTTACAGAGAAATTTATAGGTTTAAATGCTTATATATTTTTTAAGAAGCTCAATTCAGTTACCTAACTTTTCCCTTAAAAAACCACAACAATAAAAGCAAACCAAACCTAAGCAAAAAGAAAGAAGGAAAAAAAAACAGAAAAAAAGAAATGGAGAATGAAAAGACAAGGGAGTAAATCAACAAAATCGAAAGTTGGTTTTTTAAAAAGTTTAACAAAAATAAAAAACTTTATCTAGATTGACCAAACACACACACACACACACACACACACACACACACACACACACACACACACATACAGAATTTAAATACCTTAAATACTAATATCAGAAACGAGAGGGGTTCATACTGACCTTACAGAAATAGAAAGATTATAGGAAAACACTATTAATAATTGCGTGCCAAATATTAGATAATCTAGATAATATGGACTAATTTCTGGAAAGACTCAAACTGCTCAAACTGACTGAACAACAAACAAAAAATGGAATAAACCTAAAACAAAGTGAATTAGTAGTCCAAAAAACTTCTGCCAAAGAAAAGCTCACACCCTGATGGCTTCAGTGTAGAATTTTAACAAATGTTTGAAGAAGTATTAAGAACGGTTTGTCACAAACTTTTCCAGCACTGTCCTACTTATTTCGTGAGCATAGTATTTTTCTCATACCAAAAGCAGGCAAAGATATCACGTGAATATAGAGGCAAAAATCCTCAATAAAATACTAGCAAACAAACTCAGCAATCAATAAAAAGGATTATATTCTACGACCAAGGGAGATTCATTCCAAGAATGAAAGTTAGTTGAATATATGAAAATCAATAATTGGAATACAGCTTATTAGCAGAATACAGGAAAGAAACCTCACGTTATCACCTCAATAGACAAAAAAAAATTATTTGATAAAATACAACCAAAACACTCAACAAACCCTTCAAAAACACTCAATTCAGAATAGAAAATTATTAAATCTGATAGGAGTTACCTAAACCAGATTCTTGAAATTCATTAAGAATTCTGAAATTCTGAAATCTGATAACCATATCAGATTCTGAAATTTGATAAGGGCATCTGTGAAAAACTCACAGCTAACATCATACTTATTCTTAATGGTAAGACACTAAATGTTTTCTACTTTAGGTGAGCAATAAAATAAAGATGTCCTCTGTCACCACATATATTCAACATTGTATTGAAAGCTGTAGCCAAGACAATTAGGCAATAAATAAATAAATAAATAAATAAATAAATAAATAAATAAAAGTCATCCCAATTGAAAAGAAAGAAAACTATCTCTATTCAAAGATGAAATAGTCTTGTACATAGAAAAATTTAAAGAAATAGGAAAAAATCCAAACCAGAATAAATGAAGTCAGCCAGGTCCCTGGATGTAACATCAATATGTAAAAATTAATTATATTTCTATACACATGAAATGAGCATTCCAAGAAAAGGAAAAAATCCTGAAATAAAATCATCAAAAAGTTATTACAAGTTAATAAAAGGATTGAAAAATTCATACACTAAATCTCCAAAGCTTTATTGAAAGAAATTAAGGAATATCCAAATTAACAGAAGACATTTTATATTTATGGAACGGAAGAGCTAATATTGTTAAGAAGTCAATACTTTCTAAACTGATGTACAGATTCAATGCAATGTTTGCCAATATTTTAGTTTTTGCAGAGACTGATACGCTTATCCTAAAATTCATATGGAAATTCAAAGGAGCCCATGCAATCTTTAAAAAGAAAAAAGCTGATGGGCTATACTTCCCAGTTTCAAAATTTTCTATAAAGCTACAATAAAAAAAAAAAATCAACCAAAGTGTGGTTGTACTCACACAAAGGTAAATATAGAGATCAGTGGAAAAGAATTAAGACTTCAGAAACAAACTCCTTCCTTCCCCCCTTCTCCCTCCCCCTTCCCCCTTCCTACCCTTCCTACCCTTCCTTCCTTCCTTCCTCCCTCCCCACTCCCCTTCCCTTCCCCCCTCCCTCCCTGCCTCCCTCCTTCTCCTTCCTTCCTTCCCCTTCCTTTCCTCTCTTCCTCCCTTCCTTTCCTTTCCCTTCCCTTCCCTTCCTTCCTTTCCCTTCCTCTCTTCCTCCCTTCCTTTGTCCCTCACTCCCTCCCTCCCTCCCTTCTCTTCCCCCCAGCCTCCCTCCTTCTCCTTCCTACCTTCCTTTTCCTTCCTTTCCTCTCTTCCTCCCTTCCTTTCCTTTCTCCCTCTCTCCCTCTCTCCCTCCCTCCCTCCCTTCTTCCCTTCCCCTCCCTTCCTCCCTTCCTCCCTTCCATTTTTGAGACAGGGTCTTGCTCTGTCACCTAGGCTGGAGTGCAGTGGTATGATTTCAGCCTCAGACTTCTGCGTTCAAGCGATCCTCTTACCTCAGCCTCCCAAAGTGCTGGGATTATAGGTGTGAGCCACCATGCTCCACCAACTCTTACATTTTCAGTTTTTATTTTGACAAAGGCTCCAAAACAATTCAATGGGCAAAAGAATAGTCTTTTCAACAAGTGGTCTTGGGAAAACTGAATATCCACATGCTGAAAAATGAAAAATTTGACTCCTATCTCATATTATATATAAAAATTAGCTCAAATGAATTATGAAGCTAAATATAAGACCTCGAAGTATAAAACTCTTAGAAGAAAAGAGTAAGTTTCTCTGTGGGCCAGGTGTGGTGACTCATGCCTGTAATCTTAGCACTTTTGGAGGCTAAGGCAGGCAGATCACCTGAGGCAAGGGTTCGAGACCAGCCTGGCCAACATAGTAAAACCCTGTCTCTACAAAAAATACAAAAATTAGCCAGGTGTGGTGGTGTGCACCTGTAATCCCAGCTACTATGGAGGCTGAGGCATGAAAATTGCTTAAATATGAGAGGCGGAGGTTGAAATTGTAGTAAGCTGAGATTGCACCACTGCAATCCAGCCTGGGTGACAGAGTGAGAGTGTGTCTCAAAAAAAAAAAAAAAAAAAAAAAAAGAAAAAGAAAAATTCTCTGTGACCTTGGATTAGACAATGGCTTATTAGATATTACACCAAAGAAAAATAACAAAATAAAACATAGACAATGAATTTTATCACTTTATGAAAAGTTTTTTTTAAAAAAAATGTGTGCTTCAATGGACATTAATTGAAAAGAAAACCCATAAAATGGGAGAAAAGAATTGCAAATCACATATTTGATAAGGGATTTGTATCCAGAATATATGAAGATCTCTTACAACTCAACAATAAAAACATCAATAACCCAGTTTAAAAATGGGCAAAGGATCTGAATAGACATTCCGCCAAGAAAGATATGTAAATAGAGAATAAGCACATGAAAAGATGGCCACATTAGTCATTAGGGAAATGCACACCGAAACTACAGTGAGTACCACTTCACACTCACTTGGTAACTAGAATAAGAAAGATAGGCAATAAAAAGCTGGTAAGGATTTGGAGAAACTGGATCCCTCAGACATTGCTGCTGGGATTCTAAAATGTATCATTCCTTTGGAAACAGTTTTGCAGTTTCTCAAAATGTTAAATACAAGGTTGCTATATAACCCAGGAACTCCACTTCAAGGTATATTTTTACCCAATTTCCTTGGGAATTGAGAACATCTCTTCACACAAAAACTTGTACATGAATGCTCATAACATTATTCATAATAGCCAATATTGGGAGTGAGTCAAACATCCATCAACCAATATTAGATAAACAAATGTGATATATTAATACAATGTTATGCAGCAACAAAACGGAATAAAGTGCTGATACTTGCTGCAGTAAGGGGGAACCTTGGGAAACATTAAGTGACGAAGCCAGACACAAAAGACTATATATTGTATGATCCCATTTATGCAAAATGTCAATTAAATAAAATATATAAAGACAGAAAATAGATTACCTATTGCCTGAGGATTGTATTTGAAGATAGAGGATTTAGCTCTTTGGTTGCAAATGTCTAGGTATAATAAATGTTAGTGTATAGTCAATAAAGTATCTTTTTTCTGTTTTAACAATTTCTTTTTTGTACTTGTACATTTAGTTTTCCAGGGGAAAATTTTTAAAAGCATATCAAGATTCATCCCACCAAAAATTATCTCATTGAGATTTGTGCTAACATTACATTTTATTTTCAAATTCATATGAAGAACGTTAAAATATTGATGATATTACATATTTTTATCCATCCATCCAAATGGAGGACATCTCTCCATTTAGTAAATGTTAAAACTGCATATCTCTATAGGAAAAAAAAACCAACCCAACTATTATACTAAAAAAGAAGAAAAAAAGAGAAAGCAGCAAAGAGTCATTAAAAAACACCAACATTTAAAATACAGTTACAGAAATTGGACTTAACATTTCAGTAATAACAATCCACATGAAAAGGCATGCTTATTAAATATTAAATAACAAAGGCTCTTAGACGTGATTGAAAAGTTCGCCTATGTATTATTTGAAGAAATACTCATGAAATAAGACTAAAAATAAAGGTATCTGTAAATACATAACAGAAAATCATACAGTAAACTAAGAATTGTTTGAATAATAATAGAAATAAAATAGATTTGGGGACCAAAAGCACTGTAAAAGAGGTATGTTAGTATTGGTAAAATCTGCTATAGACAATAAAGATAAAGCAGTCACAAATATTTATGTATTAAAAGAGAGATCACGAGGTCAGGAGATCGAGACCATCCCTGCTAAAACGGTGAAACCCCATCTCTACTAAAAATACAAAAAAAATTAGCCGGGCGTAGTGGCGGGCGCCTGTAGTCCCAGCTACTTGGGAGGCTGAGGCAGGAGAATGGCGTGAACCCGGGAGGCGGAGCTTGCAGTGAGCCGAGATCCCGCCACTGCACTCCAGCCTGGGCGACAGAGCGAGACTCCGTCTCAAAAAAAAAAAAAAAAGAGAAAGCATCAAAACATATAAAACAAATAAGCATTTGCTCAGTAACTTCTTAGTCTCTGAAAATAAATGCAGCTGTATAAAATAGATAAAATTATTCATAAACCGATATTATAAAAATACATTGAATGTTCTATAGTATAAACAGGGCATAGTGAATTCTTGTAATTTTATGTTGCTTCAGCATCCATGTTGAAGATAGTTTTAACTTGCTTATGCTAGAAGCAGGGCTTAGTCACTCTTGACTAAGCAGTTTGCAGTTCTTCCGTGTGGCAAACCATTTATCTGCCTTATACAATTACCTCCTGGTGACCACTTCTCTATGGAACAGCTAAAAACAACCTACTCGACCCACCCAACTGATCTCCACCCGCCACCACCCCACATGGACTATGCAGCAGATATGATGTAGTGACCACCTGTCAGTCACAGCATGACTCTGGGGAACTCGTATCTGTTTGCTCCAAACTGGACCATTACACCGGCTTGGGTAACACCCTGGACCCCAGTGAAGGATTTGGCTGGCAAGCGTCTCTCTCTCTACCTTCCCATCAGCAGTTTGAGCACACATGTCCTGAATGGCTCCCAACTTACAGCTGGCCCTGCAAAGTAGGCCCTGACTACCTCTCTGAGATCTGTAAGTAATAAACTGTCTCTGCTATTTCAAATGTTTTGAGTCACTGCCTATGTGTCTCAGCCAACTGACACACCTGGACCTAAATTCTTTCCCAATGGGGGCTCTCCTAGAGAGTGGCTATATTAGTGGGAATAAACTAAGTATAGGTCAGACAAGAGCCACAGGGACATCCACCAGAATCAACTAGTTTCCTGTGACAAGGATACCAGGTCACAGATCGGACAGTTAGGTATTAGGCTGCCCACCAGGATAAAGTAGCATCCTGTGAAAGGGAGACTGTAAACATCTAGTACGAAACCCCTGGAACCCTGTAAAGGCAAGGCTCCAGCTTATAGCCACTCTCCAGGGAGAGAGAGACCTCAAGACCAAATTAGGAAAAAAAAAAAAAATACAGCCTGGGGAATGTGCATTTTTTCCAAATGTTGGAAGAAGATTTCCTAGCAAAAATAAATACTCAGCCATTTAAACATTTTAAAATATTCTCCTAATAATGATACAAAGAAGAATTTAAAACTGCAATTACAGATTATTTAGAAATTGAGGCCAACCTAACAGTAGAAACCTAGAAACAGCTTGAATGGTCATCAGTTGTAGAACATATCAGTAAGTTATGGTACAAAGAATAAATGTAAATTGTATGTTTTGTGTTACTGATTACTTTGAAGTTATTTGTTAAAATAAGGCGATATCTATGATGGATTGGAAAGCAAATGACATTATATATTAATCAAAAAATTAATACAGAAAAATATATGCTTGATCTAATTTTTGGAAAAAATCTGTATGTGTACATGTTCTTTTTTTTTTTTTTTTTTTTTTTTTTTTCTTTTTGAGACAGAGTCTCGCTCTGTCACCCAGGTTGGAGTGCAGGAGCATGATCTCGGCTCACTGCAAGCGCCGCCTCCTGGGTTCACACCATTCTCCTGCCTCAGCCTCCTGAGTAGCTGGGACTACAGGCACCCACCACCACGCCCAGGTAATTTTTTTTTTTTTTTTTGGCATTTTTAGTAGAGATGGAGTTTCACTGTGTTAGCCAGGATGGTCTCGATCTCCTGACCTCATGATCCACCCGTCTCGGCCTCCCAAAGTGCTGGGATTACAGGCATGAGCCACTGCGCCTGGCCTATTCTTTCAAACAAAGGGTATCATGGATCAATACCCACCAAATCACTATAAATAGATACATTGAGGAGGGAGGAGAACTCATAAATTTTGTTATGGAAATTTCTATATTGGTTGGACTGTTTTATTAAATATTGCTTTTGTGTTTCTAATTATTGAATGGAAAATAATTTCAAAGAGAAGGACTGAGGAGTGTGAGAATGCCTATCAAACTATATAGCCAAAGATTATTTCCTGGCTCTAAATGTTTTAAATTATTACATAAGAATAAATGTGGGGAGAAATAGGAACGCTTTTACACTGTTGGTGGCAGTGTAAATTAGTTCAACCATTGTGGAAGGCAGTGTGGCGATTCCTCAAGGATCTAGACCTAGACATACCATTTGACCCAGTCATCCCACTACTTGGTATATACCCAAAGGATTATAAATCATGCTACTATAAAGATACATGCACACGTATGTTTATTGCGGCACTATTCACAAAAGCAAAGACTTGGAGCCAACCCAAATGTCCATCAGTGATAGACTGGATTAAGAAAATGTGGCACATACACACCGTGGAATACTATGCAGCCAAAAAAAGGGTGAGTTCATGTCCTTTGCAGGGACATGGATGAAGCTGGAAACCATCATTCTAAGCAAACTATCACAAGGACAGAAAACCAAACGCCGCATGTTCTCACTCATAGGTGGGAGGTGAACAATGACAACAAATGGACACAGGGCAGGAAACATCACACAGCGGGGCCTGTCAGGGTTTGGGGGGCTGGGGGAAGGACAGCATTAGGAGAAATACCTAATGTAAATGAGCAGTTGATGGGTGCAGCAAACCAACATCACACATGTATACCTATGTAACAAACCTGCACGTTGTGCACATGTACCATAGAACTTAAAGTATAATAATAAAAATAATAAATGACGTCAAATTAAGCCTTTGACTCAACAATCTAGAAAAAGAACAGAAAATATTTCTAAAGATAGCAAGATGCTGGAAGTAAAAACAGAAGCTAGATATAATTAGAAAAATATCATGTTATTATTTGTCTAGACTTTGGTGTTTTGCTTTTTTTCTTGAGACAGTCTTGCTCTGTCACCCAGCCTGGAGTGCAGTGGTGCAACCATGGCTCACTGCAGCCTCAACTTCCCAGGCTCAAAGGAACCTCCCACCTCAGCCTCCCTGAGTAGCAGGAACTACAGGCATGCACCACCATCCCTGGATAATTAATTTTTTCCTTTTTGTAGAGATGGGCGTCTCATTATATTGCCCAGTCTGATCTTGAACTCCTGACCTCAAGTAATCCTCCCACCTTGGCCTCCCAAAGTGCTGGGATTACAGGTCTGAGCCATTGTGCT
Organism: Homo sapiens; assembly: GCF_000001405.40. Classification (NCBI taxonomy): domain Eukaryota; kingdom Metazoa; phylum Chordata; class Mammalia; order Primates; family Hominidae; genus Homo; species Homo sapiens. The sequence goes on from NC_000008.11 coordinate 15,879,974, forward strand.
CGGTCGACTTTGCTTTTTATGTTTAAAAAATGCCTTTGTCTCGATTTCAACATTAAAGCTAAAAACCAAAATCGATTCTCCCTATGATGAATGGGAAATTTAGCAATCTTTCGTGTTTTCATTCCTTCTCAATTTCTTAGTTTTTATTTAAATAATCTGAGTTTTAAGATCCAGTTTATTATTAATGTTCACGCTATTTACTTTTTCTTTTAAGATTATTCTTGATACTTGCATTCAGTTCTATAAGCTATTATGGAAAATGTTATGACTTACATTGTAGTTTTTAGTGTGATTTAGTTCTTAAACTATTTTGTTTAAATCATATATTTCCTACTTTCAGTATCACTGATATTGACATATATTAACATTTCTTTTCAAGAAGAATAAATGAATAGTATATTTTTAAATCCTTGCAAGTCTAATAATGCTATTGTTTCCACCCAATATTTTGACTGGCTGTTTCTGGCAATATGAATTCAAACTGAAAATTTGATTCATCATTGGGCAGATATACTAACATAGGAAATGCATCTCATACATCAGTTTTGTTTTTCTTGGATACAACAGCTGAAGCGGTTTATGTTTAATTATTTCACATGCATACCATATGTGTTATATAATACAGCATATGGTCTGTATGTGGAATAATTAAACATGTGTTTTATTAGAACACGTACGGTATGTATATGAAATAATTAAACATAAAGCCCTTAAGCTTTATGTTTATCAATGTATGTAACATAAATGTATTTGACATAAAATGCCATTTGATATACGCTGGCATTAGTGAATTTAATTCCTTAAGAGAAGGAAATATTTATGCTTTATTTATGTAAGAGGAAGAAATGTTTATATCTATTAATTAAACATTGGTTTATAATAATATAGGTCATGAAATGTCTAGTTTAAATTTTTTATCAGCTAATAAAAGGAAGATAACATTGAATAAATAAAATTACCATTTGATCATGCCTTTAATCATTACCGCACTATTTATTATACCATCCAGGTGCCTAGAACTGCTTAAAACACTGGAAATATCATTCTTTCAATTATTGATATTTCTAAGATATGCCACCACTAATTCAAATGATCTTTCAGAGAAGGAAAAGAAAATCACAGTGTAATGGTACCACAATTTGCTCTAAGCTATCTATTTTGGGGTCATCTCTTAATGCAAATGTATGACGTTTGACTGACTATATGTTCAGAAATCTTTCATCCAGCACAATTTTTTTTTTGCAGTGACTACAACTGTAGTTCAAATTCAGAAAAAAATAAGTAGCAACTGTCTTTACTGGTTTACTTGTTTTAAGATCATTTGCCAACTATTTTCAGATTCTTTGCCTAGTATTTTAAAATTACCAGCCTTGTTATTCTACAATAAACCAAGCACACATTGTGCTAGGTTCTATAGCATGTAAGATTAAGAAGACCATTTCTGTTTATAGAGCGCTTACAACTGAGATAAAGAAGACTGCTATTTATACACAAATAACTATATTTAAAGTTATGACTTTTAATAATCATAAAAGAAAAAAGTATGTCATAGTATTAAGAAAACAAAAATAATTTTATAATATTCTACTAAAACACTTCAATGGCCTCCCATAGGAAGAAATTACAACTACTTAGCTGACAATAAATTTCTTTCACATATGTTCCTAACTTGCCATCCCCATCTCTTGCTCTAGTTTCCTATATTAATTATATACCTTAGTAAAACCAATCTTTTATTGAACCCCAAGTACATTTTGTTTTTTTCTGCCTTTATGTTTTTGTCCCTCTTAAACTGTCTCTCTCAAAGGCCCAGTAAAAATCTTACTTCCCGCACTAATTCTCACCATTTACCTCTGAGAAGTGCTAGTAAAGCATATTTATTTCACAATAAAATAGAATGATTAAATTTTGGCTTCTGTTTGCTGGTTATGTGTGCACACACATACACAAATACACCCTCACACATGTGTAGTGTTTCCTATTCATTAGCATTTAGATTAGTGCTTTATAAAGAACAGGTTTAAGTACTTAATAAATATTTAATTTCTTGATTGGCATATGTTTTCCTTGACAAGTTTTTCTGGATTTTTCTGATAAATTTATTTTAAAAAATAAATATTGTATTGCTATGTCCTTTCATCTTTCATTATTACCCACAGTTTATGATCCCAACCTGGCTGTGATGGAGAGTGTCTTCAGGCAAGCTCCATTAACTTCAACATTTCTATTTCTGTTCTTCAATGACTCTTTTATTCCCTTTCTTTTCGCCAAAATGAAATCAGCTTACACTTCACATTTTTTATGATTATATTCATTTGCATTTGGCATTCGGTAGTCATTCCTTCTGACTCAGTTGGCACTTAAAAGATCTGCCTTCAATGTGAGAAGCCTGCCATGAGCCTACTTTACAAGTGAAAATGCTAACCATTTATTTCTTTTCATGCATGTTTTCATTAGAACATTAATTTCTTTAATATATAGTACTTCATCGGGATAAAACCTAGCATTTGCTTTACCCATACATGAACAAGCCTCACTATTATTCATCTACGGTAAAGAAGATTTGTTTGTTTTCATTGAAATTTTAGCTAATCGACTGTACACTTTCCTACAAATGGCTGCATTATTTTCACTTCATTATTCCCACTCAATCTCCCACTCCCAAATGCTCCATCAAAATATATAGACCCATTCAACTATGTAGCTTTTTCGTTAATCATTCATGTGGGTGGTTGTGTATGTTTACTATAGCTCCCTTACAGAAAAGTTTAAAAACAAAAATGCATAGCTCAGTAGTTTACTACAATCGGAGGTTAGAAAAGAGGATATTGTCAGCATCAAATAAACTTCCTGCCTGTGCCCTCTCAATCACAATTCACTTCCCCCCACAAAGGTAACCATAATGCTAATTTTCTTACTTTCCTTTATAGTTTTATCTCCCAGGCAGGTATCCCTAAATGCTATAGTTTAAATGCAATCATATGATATGTGATATTTTGTAGCGGGCTTCATTTCCTCAACAGTATGATTGTGAGATCTATTCACGTTGTCGAGTGTAGCACTAATTCATTCACATGCAATCTTCTTCAATAGTTTTCTGCTGATAAACATAACGCAACATATTAATCCATTCCACTGCTAAGGAACATCTTGTTTTTTTCCTAGTTTTAGTTTACAAATACTATTGTTATAAAATTTTTTACCATGCTTCTTCAGACACATAAAATTTGTTGGGTCTATACCTAGGAATAGAACTGCTAGATTATAAATTGTTACACATTTGTTCAGCATTTGCAGATACTGACAAACAATTTTGCAAAATATTAGTACCAATTTATATAATTTCACCAACCCTGTAGGGAATTCCATTTGTCCCAGATCCTTGTAAACCTTTGGAGTTGTCATTCTTTTCATATTTAGCAAGTCTGGGTGTAGGTATCTCTCTGTGATGGTATCTCATTGAACTTTTAATATACATTTATTTGGTGACACACAAAATTGAATATTTATTCACATACATGCTGTTGGCATACTCACTTTTGTTTACTGTCTGGATCTTTTGCCCACTATTCCACTGGTTTGTCTATCTTTTCCTTGATTTGCAATTGTTTTTGTTTATTGTGGACATACATCATTTTTCAGTTATATGAAGCTTGTCCTTTAACTTTTTCTTCTAACAGAAAGTCTTAATTTTAATGTGTCAAATCTAACAATCCTCTCAATTCTGCTTAGTAATTTTTATGTTCCTTTTGAGAAGGAACATGCTGACTTCACATAGATACTCTCTTTATGATTTATTTTTCATTTAGATAAAAAATTCACCTGAAATTTTCAGGTATGGTGATGGATTCACATTGATTTTCAAAATTTCCTGCTTATCAGTATCCATTTACCCCTAGGATAATTTATTTAAAAGTTCACCCATACCCTAAGACTATTGAGCATTGCTACCTTTATGATAAATTGCTAATACATGCATGGGTCTGTTTCTGATCACTGTTAAATTGATCTAATTGTCTATCCTTCCTACAATCTATTCCTGTAACTTAACTTTGTTTTTACGTCTAGTAGAACAAATCTTTACATTTTCTATTCTTTTTAAAGTGTGTCTTAGTTTTATTGCCATTTGCCTTTCCATATATTTTTTAGAATTACTAATAGAATCACTTTTCATAAAGATTCCTTTAGAAATTTGCTTAGAAGTACAATAAATGTATTTTGAGAACAGATATCATTAAATACTGTACTTCTAATGGATAAGTATGACTCTCCCTCTGTCTGAGTTTTCTTCAAATTCTCTCATTGTTTTACAGTTTTTGCAAAGAGGTATGGCACATCTTTCTTTATATTTATTGACAGTTATTTGATGTATCAGATACTATTTTAAATGGTCTCTCTTTGAAGTTTGTTTCTAGTTACTTAAAAATCCAGTTAATTTTTGTCTATCAGCCTTATATCCAACATCTTCATGAAACTCTTCTAACAGTTGATTTGTAGATTTTCTATATACACAGTATAATCTACAAATAAAGACAGCTTCATTCCTTGCCTTCTAATCTTTATGTTTTTTATCGCCTCTGCTTTTCTTACTTTACTGACTAGAACTGCCAGTATCAGGTTGAATAAAATTGATTGTAATGACCACCTTTGTTTCACTTCCAACGTAAAAGGAAGTATTTTAGAATTTCACCATTAAAATGCAGCGTCTGTCAACTGTATCACAGTAAGAAAATTTAAACTCGGTACTGAACGACTAGGATCTAGCCTGCAGAACTAGAGCACAGAATTTTTAAAAGTTAATCATAGAATGCAGAAGATTCAGAACATGAATTAAGGCCAAAATTGCAATGAAAAACCCTTATAAGGTAGTGGCAGACACTTTACAGGAAAGACGTTGCATGTAAGAGTAACTCTAAAAGGGTTTTCTTCTTGTCTTCTACCATAGTTGAATTGAGGGGTGGAGGTGGAAAAAACAACAGAAGTCCTGTGCTTGCAAATCAGAGGGTAAAAGGCACTTTTGGACGGGTGCAGTGGCTCATGCCTGTAATCCCAGCACTTTGGCAGGCCGAAGCAGGTGGATCAGGAGGTTAGGAGATCGAGACCATCCTGACTAAGACGGTGAAACCCCGTCTCTACTAAAAATACAAATTAGCCGGGCGTGGAGGCGGGCGCCTGTAGTCCCAGCTACTGGGGAGGCTGAGGCAGGAGAATGGCGTGAACCCGGGAGGCGAAGCTTGCAGTGAGCTGAGACGGCGCCACTGCACTCCAGCCTGGGCCACAGAGCGAGACTCCATCTCAAAAAAAAAAAAAAAGACACTTTTGCCTCACGTTCCTGGCAATTTCCATGGTGCCCTCAATCCATGGCATCACTTCAAGCGAGCAAAACTGGTTCCAGTGGAGCTCCCATAGAAAGAAGCCATGGGATAACCTCTTTTTTCCAACTGGGCTCTCCAGATTCAGGGTAGGAAAAGCTCCAATAAAGGTGCTGGACTCCTTGAACGGGGTGGAGACACTGGCTAAGAATTAAGAGTCGGCCGGGCGCGGTGGCTCACGCCTGTAATCCCAGCACTTTGGGAAGCCGAGGCAGGAGGATCATGAAGACAGGAGATCGAGGTCATCCTGGTTAACACGGTGAAAACCCGTCTCTACTTAAAAAAAAAAAAAAAAAAAAAGAAAGAAAAAAAAGAGAAAAAAAAATTAGCCGGGCGTAGTGGCGGGAGCCTGTAGTCCCAGCAACTCAGGAGGCTAAGGCAGGAGAATGGCGTGAACCCGGGAATCGGAGCTTGCAGTGAGCCGAGATCGCGCTACTGCACTCCAACCTGGGCGACAGAGCGAGACTCTGTATCACCAAAAAAATAAATAAATAAATAAATAAATTAAGCAGCAATGTTTCTCCCAGATGAGGATAGCAGCATGGAGCTACAGGCCCTAAAATGAGTCAAAGGAGACCACTGAAAGCCAGAGCTAGATGTATGGTATTGCTGAGTGATAGGGTCATACAAGCATTAAGAGATCAAAGGGGCTGAGCTGCTTGAAAGCAATCACCATAATTCCCAAGAGACAATAATGACTCGCATTAGGAGTGGAAAACAAGAACGAACGAGACATCACCATGATAGTCAGAGGAAAGCAGGAGGACCACAGGTCCTGTTTCCCTCTCATGTGTTACATCAGCTTCCACTTTGTACCCAAATACTGCCCTGGAGAGAGGTAGAATACTGGGCTGGAAGAATATATAAGCACTTCTGGTTGGGAACTCAACTTCGAAAAAAATATTTAGGGAAAACAACTTAAAGGACAAAAAACTAATGTGTTTTCCCAAACAGTCTGGACAAGTGGCGCTAACTGACAAAGCCTGTGTTAAATTATCTTTGCTGACCTATGCTTTTGTATGATGTCATCCACGCTATTCAAAGATCCTCTAATAAAAGTTCTAAGAAATTAATCTCTTTTTTCCTTTTTCTTCTTTGAGATGGAGAGGTGCTCTGTTGCCCAGGCTGGAGAGCAGCGGCACGATCTCGGCTAACTGCAACCTCTGCCTCCCAGGTTCAAGCGATTCTCCTACCTCAGCCTCATGAGTAGCTGGGATTACAGGTGTGCCCGGCTAGTTATTTTTAGTAGAGAAGGGTTTCCACCATGTTGGCTAGGCTGGTCTCAAACTCTTGACCTCAGGTGATTCGCGCCCCTCAGCCTCCCAAAGTGCTGGGATTACAGACATGAGCCACCACACCCGGCCAGAAATTCATCATTGTTTCTGAGGTGGTTGCGGACATCCTTATTTTGTTATTACATTCTCCAATGTTCCCATTATGAGAACCCTTAAGAAACACTCCTGTCTTATTTTAAAACAAAAAGCAACTTTTGAAAATTTTCTCTTTCCCTTTTTTATATTGCCATTTTGGATTCTGTAATTGACAATGGGGCGCTCCTTTCAGAAGTGATCCAAGGTTGCTTTCATGCTTGGCAGAGCAGCAGGAGGAGGAAAAAAAATACCACTGTAGATGGGGTTAAAAAGAAATCAGCTGATGACAACATTTGTTAAAGGCTGAGTGTGACCTGGCTTGAGAGTTTAGAATCCCGAGAAGCCCCCGCCAAAAAGAATGACGCTCACCTGTCCACTCTTTCTCAGGGTTCTTCATCAAGTGCTCACACAGAGGACTGGAGGTACACCAGAACTGAGAGAAATTGTCCCAGGCATGAGTCAGAGGTTGTCACAGCTGTTGGAAGAGAAGGAACGCTGAGAGCGTCCCCTCTGAACCACTTTGGGCCCTTAGAAGGCTGGAGTGGAGGAGCCTGAGACAATCCCTTCAGGCCTTGCTGAGTCTAGAGAATGAGGAAGTGAGAGCTAACAGACAGCCCCCTTATATCCTGGACTTGCAGCAGGCTGAGGGAGGGGCAAAAGAACTGAGAAGAGATCGCTGGCCAATCAGATTTCAAGCCCTGCTGAAGGGACGTTTCTGATCCTGCCCACCTACCATCAGCAGCCAACCTGACACTGAATCTAACTAAAGCAATGATAAGGCCCATTCCCAGTTCAAGAACAGAAGATGCTGGCTCAGCTAAGACCACACCCTTCTTCCTCCCCTCCCCCAGCAGCTTCGCAGGAGAGGAGTGTCTTTTTCTGAGTGTCTTTTTGACTTCAGTTTTTACTATTTTATACACAATGTCTGACATACAAGAAAACATTATGAAACACCACAGAAAAGCAATAAAATTAGACCCATCATCGAGAGGGTCTATAAAATCAGACCTGGGATGGCTCAAATGGAACTATCAGACAGGGGCTTTAAAAAGAAAAACAGATTAAATAAAGAGGTGGAGAGTGTGCATGAACAGATGTGCAATTTTGGCAAAGATCAAAATTATTTTTTAAAAAGCCAAAAGGAAATGCTACAAGTAAAAAATGTAATGTCAGAGAAAATGGAGGGAGGGAGGAGGAGAGAGAGAGAGAGTGAGAGACAGAGAGAGACAGAAGAGAACATAGGCAAGGAAACCATTATCATGCTAAAAACATTGACAATCGTTCCTTAATAGCATCAAATATCCAGTCAAACATTCAAATGTCCTATCAGATTTTTTTTTACAGGTTGTTAAAGTAAGTTTTATAAGTTTTATAAAGTATATTGAAATTGCTTAGTTTGGTTTTTAAGGCTCTTTTATAGTTTTCTTTCCATTTTTTTCCCCTTCAGAAATTTCCAAGCTGAAGAAGCTCGGCCAGACAGTGTCCCCCACAGTTTGGGTTTTGCTCATTCATCTCTGTGCTATCATTTAACACGTGTCTCTGTGCTTTGTATTTCCTGTAACCTGGCAGTTAGATCTAGATACCTGATCAGATTCAATTTCAATTTTTTTGAAGATAGTGCTTTATAGGCAGTGATGTGTACTTCCTTCGTGATTCTCTGAAAAAAATTTTTTTTTTTGGGAGAATATTTTGCATTTCTTTATTAGCTCATGTGTATATGTCCCTAGCAAAATGAATTGAAAAGTTACCTATTTGAGTCAATCAATTTCAATTTGTGGGTGTTTAAATTTGCTTTTAAAGTTTTCATGCTAGATAATGTTTTGATTTTTTTTCGATTTTCTCTGAATTAGTGAGTTTGACTCACTAATTCGTGGCTTTTTCACTGTGTTAATTTCTGTTTAACTTTTCTTTTGGGATTATAGCTCCATTCTCCTTTAAATTTACCATTGCATTTGACAGAGAAATGATCAATCAATCACTTTCACAAGCTAGACCTCCTTTGGAGTGAACAGTCACTTTGGACTCTGCTGTCTTGAAGTTCAGTGACTCTGTCGAGGGTGGGATGGAAGCTTCAGGACGTGCCCCTCTGCAGTCCTGCTTCCATCTAGGCAGCTCTGGTTTCACTATGAACCTGGAGGGCAGAGCCCTCCTTCCCTTGCTCAAGGTGGAAACTGTGTGCCTTGGAGACCTCTCACAGACAAGAACAGACTCTAAGATGGCAGTAGGACTAGGAAATGACATTCCTCTCCTTTAGTCTCAGGAAAAAAAAAAAACCAGAAAACTTATTTCAGCTGTGGAAAAAAGAAATCTGTTCATAAGTATCCCTGCTGCATTGAATACATACTTCAGTTAAATTTGTGATCCTGAATATTGGCAATTCAAGATATTTTGATTAATCTTTATGTGCATCTGAGCACTAGAAACTACATATATAGTAATGTATAGCATAGATGGCAACTCTTTTCCAGCAGACTTGCATTTAGATGAGACTGCAAATTTCTAATCTAGTAGGATTAGCAGAGGAGAGAGAAGGGAGATAAAACAGCAACCTATTTACAGTGATTCCTGTTACTGATAAAGCCTCAGAATAATTTATCTGACCCAATGGTATTAATACTAAATCTTCACTAAGTTGCACTTGCTGGCCATCCAGTACATTCAGGCTTTGCAGCACTTTCAGATCCTCAGTCCTGATACGACTTAGGTGCAAATCCTCCTGTTCTATGGGCCAATAACCTTTTAAAATTCCTTCTGAAGCCTCATATACATCAAGGCTTTTTGGCTGTCATTTCTACTTGCTTGGAATAAAAATGTCAGAGCAGGGGAATACCAATAAAAAGGACGTACACAAAGGTAGGAACTGGGGAAAATCAAGTAGCATAAACATCAAGCAAGTTGAATTTTTGATGACTGCATTTTCTGTGTCTCACTAGAAATTCCATGTAGGCTGTATGTATAACATGCAGATGTATTTGTAATATATAATGGAGTATAATATACTGAACTCAACTTAGTGATTTCTTCAGAGCTGTATGTATAACATGCAGATGTATTTGTAATATATAATGGAATATAATATACTGAATTCAACTTAGTGATTTCTTCAGAGATGCCTTTTTAAAAAACTGCTCTGTTTCACCAAGAGCTTATTTTATTTATATCACCTGTGTATACATTCCGAATCAGGGAGGCAGTGCGTAAGAGTGGCTCTCAATGCAGGTTCTAAAGTTAGACTTTCAGAATCAGAATCTGGCTCTACCACATTAGCAGTACGAATTTCGGCAGCCATTAAATCGTGCAGATTTCCTCCTCCAAAAATAAAGATGATATGAAATACACCTACTTTCTAAGGCTGAGAAAATCAAATTGGTATAAATGAATATATTGACTATCATCCTAATTTTAGGATACGGGAGCACCCACAAGGGTTTAATAGCGGCCCAAGTTTATAATTCATATAATTCAGAATTAGCTGCAAAATTATGAATTGAATTATCTAGAATGAACTAGAACATGCAACCAGCTGTGTAGAATCCTATGGTGATAGATAAAATGTAATTCATTGGAATTCCGAAAGGGCTGCATGTCCGAATTATTATAAAAACTACGGCCAGGCGCAGTGGCTCATGCCTGTAGTCCTCACACTTTGGGAGGCTGAGGGTGGCAGATCACGAGGTCAGGAGTTCAAGACCAGCCTGATCAACATGGTGAAACCCTGTCTCTACTAAAAATACAAAAATTAGCCAGGCGTGGTGGTGTGTGCCTGTAATCCCAGCTACTCGGGAGGCTGAGGCAGGAGAATCGCTTGAACCTGGGAGGCAGAGGTTGCAGTGAGCCGAGATTACACAACACTGCACTCCAGCCTGGTCAACAGAGTGAGACTCCGTCTCAAAACAACAACTACAAAAAAAAAAACTACATCCTGTAATCTGACAGGGTCTCAGTTTCCCCCATTTGTAGAATGGGGATAATATTTCCTTTTATAGAAAGTTGTGAATATTAACTGTAATAGTTTATAAATTTCCCGTGATACAGGAGGTACTTAATTAGTACCTCTTTCTGATCTCCTTTTCTAATTGTTAATGAATTGGCAATACAAAAACATTAAAATTTTTTTATTTCAATAGGTTTTGGGGAACAGGTGGTGTTCGTTTACGTGAATGAGTTCTTATAGTGGTGATTTCTGAGATTTTGGTACATCCATCGCCCGAGGAGTGTACACTGTACCCAATGTGTAGTCATTTATTCTTTGCCACCCACTAGCCTTTCCACCAAGTCCCCAAAGTCCAATGTTATGATACTTATGCCTTTGCCTCCTCATAGCTTAGATCCCACATGAGTGAGAACATACGATGGAAAAACATTTTTGTCATAGAAACGTTCGCTATAATATAGCAGCAATCGCAAAACTTTAAAAACTGAAGCTAGCAGCTTTGACTATGCACCCTGAAATTCTACCCTTGCCTTCAGTTTTCTATGTGTATTTAATTTTTACAAAGGAAACTGGAGATCATATTGTTTTGATAGTGAATAGGAAGTGTCTTCTCCTTCTATAAAGCACATTGTGTCTTTCCTTATCCATAGTGCTGCCTAAAACCTTGGCTTTTCTGCTACTGGAATCTTGAATTTTTTCTTCTTTCAAGTGAATTTTTCCTATGATCATAACAGTTCCTTTCCGTAAAGATTTCATATCTCTTCAGCCATTTGCCTTGCTATGGAGATCCAAATTTAAGAGAAGCACTTTAACCATTTTTGAATGTAAAGTAAAGGGAACTGAATGCATATTATGGTTTTTAAATAGTTCAAAAGAACTATTACAACCTAAAATAAGTTTAAAATGTCTCTGACTAAAACTTGTAGTTTATACGTTTATTCTTTAAGGATGTGATTCTCTGAAACAAATTAAATAAATCTAAGTTTTGCATGAAATTATCATTTCAAAATGCCAAAGAGTAATTTGCTTAGAATCTTAGTACAAATTTCAACTGCAAACTTGTTCTACTCCACTGGAAGAGCACTACATTTTATGAATATTGACTTAAATACATTGGACCATACCTGGTCCATACATGGACCATAATCTCTGTTTTAAAACTAGTCTGTTTCAAGGTGTCAGATAGGCTTATGGCTGGGCACAGTGGCTCATGCCTGTAATCCCAGCATTTTGGGTGGCCCAAGCAGAAGATTGCTTGAGCCCAGGAGTTCAAGATCAGCCTGGACAACATAGGGGGACCTTGTGTCTATAAAAATTTTTTTTTATTAGCTGGGCATCGTGTAGTGTGTCTGTAGTCCCAGCTACGTGGGAGGATGAGGCAAGAGGATCGCTTGAGGCCAGGAGTTTGAGGCTACAGGAAGCTAGAGTCATTCCACTGTGCTCCAGCCCGAATGACAGAGCAAGATCCTGCCTGAAAAAAAAAGGTCTTTTTTATTCAAGTCTCTATAGTTAAAAAAAAATTGTCACAAACACTGATGCATATGTACATATACAAGTCTATCTAGGAAAAAATAAACTATGACAAACTTCATCAGTTTCTATCTAGGAAAAAATAAAATATGACAAACTTTATCATTAAACTGATTTGAAAAGGGTTTCTGAGAACATTCTGGTGCACTACATAATCCTTATGTAGGAAAGCTAGGATGCCAGATGTTTATGTGTTCCATCCTCATTCTCATTAAAGGTTCCATTGTTTTTTTTTTTTTTTTTTTTTTTTTTTTTTTTTTTTTTTTTACCACCAACTTTAATTGCAACCAATTCACTAGGCTGCCTTAATTATAACATTTTAGATTAGGAAAAGACTTAGAAATCATCTAGTGTTTGTCAAACCAAAATGATCATCTGAATCACCTACGATGCTTTAAAAAAAATTAAAAAACCACTTACTTTCCCATTCCTGGAGATCCTGGTACTGTAGATGTATGTAAAAACCAAGGATCTGTCATTTAAAAAATGTCCTAAGGTGATTCCAGCAGATGAGCCAGATTTGACAACTCTGTGTTGTAGAATTGAATCTTCTCTATAACATCTTTGCCAAATTGCTATTTGGCTGTGATTGATTACCTTGGGTCCTAAAGAACTTTATCTCTCCAAGCAATGATTTTCCTTTTTGGACATCTCTGTTGCAATAGTTTTTACTGTATTTGATGAAATCTACTTCTTTGTTGCTTCTGCCTACTGATCTCAGTTATCCTTTGTGACAAAAACAAGTCTATTCTTGTTCCACATGACTTCTCTGAATGTTTGAAGGTGACTTGGATGTCTTCCTGAGTCTCTTCTGGGATAAACAATCCAAATTCAAGCATGTTTTGTCTCTCATGATTTTCAAATGTTGATCTCATTGGTAGTTCTCCTCAGGACACCTTCCCATCTGTCTCCCTGTTTTCAAGCGTATTTCTCCAGGCAGTGTAAAGAGAGGTGTGTTTTAAATACCATAGTTCTTTGAAGCTTCTAAAGTTACATAAGTTTAAAATAGTCTTTTTAATTCATGTGGTTCTTATTTTCAACTAAAAGTATTATGTTTTCCTGAATGTGCTAGTACTAATTCATATCTTCTACATTTAATTAATGTGATTTATTTAAAAAATTCAAGTGCTAAGTTTTTGTACTCTTGTATAAAGTACGTCTTGCTGGATTTAACCTATTAGGGAAAAAGTAAAATGGTATTACAATTTGGGTGTGGTTTCTCCCTGCCCAAACTTATGTTGGAATTTAATTGCATTTAATTGCCAATGTAGCAGTGTTAGGAGGTGGTACCTTTAAAACGTGCTTAGGTCCTAAAGATGGATTTCTCAGAAGACTGTGTTAGTTCTCTGGGAATGGATTTGTTCCCATATGTGTAGGGTGTTATAAAATGGGGTTGCCTCTTATCTTTTGTCTCTCTGCACATGCCTACTTCTCCTTCCTTCTGCTTTCTGCCATGAGTTGAAACAGCACGAGGTCTCACCAGATTGGCGGCCTGAACTTGGACTTCCCAGTGTGCAGAACCGTAGCTAAATAAACGTATTTGCTTTATAAATTACCCAGTCTTGGGTATTCTGATATAGCAACACAAAATCAACCAAGACAAAGGGTAGTCTCAGACCTTGATCTTCAAATGTATTTGCTATTCTCCCTGGCATTTTGCAATTCTAGAATTGATGAACCTACTCTGTATGTCTTTATTCAATTGTAAAGATATGAGGCTGAGAACAAAGATTCTCACCTGAGATTTTCACCTTTTTTAGGTCTATGCTAATTGACGTTACTCCAAGGATCAGAGCCCCATGAATGTAGTTATGCTTCTCAATGCTTCTGGACAAACCTTTATTAATCTACCTTGTTTCCAGGAAAATAAAGAGAAACCTTATCAAAACCTTGCTGAAGTCCAGATACTTCCTTAATCTGCCAGACTAGTAAAATAAATGGGTTGGCTATGACATCGACTGTTCTTTCATTCTATGCTTTCTTTTCCAGATTCTTCCAATCCACTTTTCATCTTGCATTCCAGATTTTGAACAGTTGTCATTGATGAGGTCTCAGGTTGGTAAAAACCACTTTTTCTTCCTAGTTTGTAAAATTGGAGCAAAATTTGCTAATGTGCAGCCTCCTAGCACTTCTCTTATTTGCCAAGATTTCTCAAAAATTAATGACAGTGGTTCCATGATCTCAGAGTAGCTCCAAGTTCTCTGTGACAACAGCTACTTTTCCAAATCCCTCTAGGTGGTTTTTAACTTCCTTTGTGGCAACAAGAGAGGAAAAATTTAAAGTAGCAAGCTGTCATATCGGTAAGTAACTCAAGTTTGTTATCCGAAGCTTTTAGGAAAATGAGCTCTACCACTTTTCATACAGTACACATCAAGAAGGTCAGGGAGAGGTAATAGTGACCGATAAAGACCTGGCTTACTGGTACTAACTCTGACCATGCTTGCAGATTTATAACACTTCAGTTGTTTCTGAAGGCATAGGCTCAGTAAACTCCTTTTTATTGAAAATCCATTGTCATTTATTCCTGAGGCCATATTTTGTCCACTAAATAAACCTCTCCCAAACCTTTCCCGTAAATTTCTGACATAGTGCAATTAACTGCAACATGCATTACTCAAGCCCACATTACTTAGTATCCACTGCTTTTCTCCTCTCTGCATGAGAGAGAGTCCCATTGCCACGGCAACTTTGAGGAAGTTCTAACAGGCATAGGCACAATCAGATGAACTCCAGCCAATTCAGTCTCATTCTCATAAGCATAATCCATTCTATTTAACTTGTCTTTTTTCCTCAAGATCATCCCTAATTTATGGACTTAAAATATTCCATTTCTATGGACCAAATAGGATTCATTTTCCTACTCATATACAATAGAATGCCTTCCAATCAATATTATTCTGAGTCCTGGGATGGAACACTTGATCTCATCTGAAGAGTCCCCTCTCTCTCTCAGCCCAGGTTATGTTTGCACCTTTTCAATGTTTATTCTACCCGTTCTGGTGCAAAGATCAGTCTCCTTCACTGAAAAACAGAGACAAGATTTGGGCAATTTTTTTTTTTCCTAATTCCCCACAAATATCCATCTCTCAGTTTCATGGATACTTGGACTTTTCCATCCCCTCTCTTTCCCCTTCCCTCCTTTTTCTCTTCCCTTCCCCTTTTCTTCCTTTCTTGCCTATGGCTAACATCTTTCTCTCTCTCTCTTTTTTTTTTAGGTCGCAAAAATAGTTTGTGTGTGACATTTAGCCTTCCTTAGGCAATTCTTTTTATTTATTTATTTTTTTAGACAGTGTCTTGCTGCTCTGTTGCCCAGGTTGGACTGCAGCCTCAACCTCTCGAGTTCAAGTGATCCTCCCACCTCAGTCTCCAGAGTAGCTGGGACTATAGACACACGTTACCATGCCCAACTAATTTCATTTTTTTTTTTTTTTTAGTAGCAATGAGTTCTCACTATGTCGCTCAGGCTTGCGTGGAATTCCTGGGCTCAGGAGATCCTCCTAGTCTCCCAAAATGCTGGGATTACAGGCTGAGCCACCTTGGTTGGCTCTCAGGCAATTCTTACGTTTTGTGTCACCCTCTTGTATTTGGCTTTGGTTATAATCCCATATTTTCATTTTTAAAAATTATTTATGGTTAATTCCAAGTTTAAAAACAATGTAGATCCCTATAGAACATTTCTTAGACAGAAAAAGAATCACCCACTCCTACGTATATCATGATTCCACCAAGCAGAAGTAAGCACAATATGTTTTATGTTTTCCTAGTCATCGTTATTGTTGCTTTTGCCTTTAAACTTTTTTTTAAGATGGAGTCTCACTCTGTCGCAAGGCAGAAGTTCAGTGGCACGATCTGAGCTCACTGCAACCTTCACCTCCTGGATTCAAGCTATTCTCCTGCCTCAGCCTCCCAAGTAGCTGGGACTACAGGTGCATGCCATAACACCCGGCTAATTTTTTGTCTTTTTAGTAGAGACGGAGTTTCACCGTGTTAGCCAGGATGGTCTCGATCTCCTGACCTCGTGATCTGCCCACCTCCGCGTCTCAAAGTGCTGGGATTACAGGCGAGAGCCACCGCACCCAACCAAACATTTTTTAATATTTAAAAAATCTGAGATGACCAGGGAGTTTTTATTTAATCACATTTTAGATATCTAATTTTTTCTTCCTTCATCAATCAGATTATTTGCATTTTTAGTCCAAATTGAATTTTTGAAAGTTTCCAAATCTTCCTTGGTTTTCATTTCAGAGGATTTATAGCCTTTATTCTCTTCTAATTCTTGAGATCTTCACATGCCTGAGGTAGAAGAAAATATTTAAATTTAAAAAAATCAAATTTTTGAGATCAACCTTCCCAAATTACAGTCTGATAGCCAGATCCCATTCTTTGCTTTTACAAACTGAAAAGTGGCATGATCGCTTTTCTTCATGGTTTCTGTGAAAGTTCAAAAACCACTTTCTTCTTGTGGGTCACAATTAGGCTCAGAGTTGCTGCTAGGTCCCCTGGTTATTGAGGAATTGCTACCATCACAACTCCTTTTCCTGTGATTTTTTTTTTCCGTTTCAAATTTTCATTTGTTTTTAGCCTAAAACAAATAAACAACTAAAACTCTAAAATTTTTAGTTGTTGCTTGATAAATAAGAAACAAAATAATACAATCTCTGGGTCCTTGGTGAAAACTGTATTTCTCGCTGAAGAAACTGCACCTTTTTACTGGTTTCAGAAAAAATGAGACCTCTTTTTCATTAGCATTTATCAACAGTACAAGTTTCTTTTCATTTTTATTGCCATTGGAATTGTATTCATTACTTCCAATCAATATTCTTTCTGGTATATTGATATGCTAGCAGTCTAGCATAAAACTATTATTTAAAATCTAGTTTTGTATTAAATACATTTGTCTTTGAAATGAAGAAAATAGAATATGGATTTTTAGGGACAGGTGTATACTATGCACTATGACAAAAACTAAGGAAAATACTTAGTAAAATTATAATTTCTATATTAATGTTGCAAACTAAAGGGACATGTACAAAATTAGAAAATTTTCTGAATAAAGAGCTCTACAATTATATTATAATTGCTGAGTATTGAAAATTACTTTGCATAGTTATATTTCAACTTTGGTAAGGCTTTTATGTGATACATATCACAATCATATATGTTACATATAACATAGTACACAGCACTATCATTGGAAATGCTTGTATGTTGTAATGCTATATACAAACTTTAATAGCAAGGATTTAACAGAAGTTTGTCAGTGATAACAGTGATAGTGACTTACGATGGAATGTCTCATAATAGCAGACTTCTGGGAACAATTGAATCCACAAAATAATGTATCCACTTCTAGTTAAACGGTTTGATGTAAAAAGTTTTGACTGAATTAAATCCATGCATGTCTTAGTTATGTCTAAGATGAGGAATCTTTCCCAGAGTTAAATCCCTGAGACCATTTTTCTACTCCTAATCTGAATGGAGTTCCTGAAACTCATAGTTTGTCCTATTCTAACCGTGGCTTCTTTGACAAATCTGTGTCTAGAAGTCAAGAGAGAAATTACAGTTAGAAGCTGTTAAAAATAAACTCAGCTCATTTCAGCATCTTCTCCAGTGGTATTATCTATCTGCTCAACCTCCTTTTCTCTCTAGTGTGAGTCCAATCTTCTCTCTGGCACTAGAAGACAGTTCAGAAGTAAACGAGCAAAGCACGTCACTAGCGTTCAACATCATTTACTTGATCACAGAGTATCTGGTGAGTAATGGTGCTAGAAGTATGAGTAAAGGGCATTGACTGGTAGCTCCATTTATTTAAAGATAACATGCTTTACATTTCCTTGACCTTTAGGTCTAATCCAAATGACATGTCATTTAGAATAATGACAAATTTGGCTATTTTGAATATGAAATGAAAACAGCTCCTGTAGTTGGATTACTTTGATGTAACCTCATTTTGGTGTAAAGATGTTAGCATTTAGTTTATCTTATTTCGTTTCATGAAAACAAATGGAAATATATATTATTTTCAGTACAAAATGTATGAAATAATTTTGCGGGTAGAAATATTTTCAAGGCTTGTGCCTGAAGAAAATTTTAACCCAAATAGTCTCAGGGACGTCTCATAAAATAGAACATCCAATAAAAATACAGACTTGAGAGTAATGGAACTCTAACTTCAGAGAAACCTGAAGATTTTCATATAATGTGGGTGAAGTATAGGAATGTAGGGATTAGGAGTTCAAGCCTTACAGTCAAGATGCCTGGATTTGTTTCTCTGCTTTTCATTTTAGCAGCTGTCAGAACTCAGTGTGTTTTAAATCAACTTTCTGTCTCAATTATCTTTATGTCAAAATTGAGCTCACTTCTCTGGTAAGGGTGAAATGTGAATAATATATTTTATTTTATTTATTTAACTTATTTTTTTGAAGACAGACTCTTGCTGTGTCGCCAGGCTGGAGTGCAGTGGCATGATCTCAGCTCACTGCAACCTCCACCTCCTGGGTTCAAGCGATTCTCCCACCTCAGCCTCCTGAGTAGCTGGGATTACAGGTGTGTGTCACCACACCCAGCTAATTTTTGTATTTTCAGTAAAGGCAGGGTTTTGCCGTGTTGGCCAGGCTGGTATCATACTCCTGGCCTCAAACAATCCACCCGCATCAGCCTCCCAAAGTGCTGGGATTCCAGGGGTGGGCCACCACACCCAGCCAGATAATGTATTTTTAAAGTGTGCCGTAGTAATTGGCATCGGGTAATCATTCAGTAAATTGTGGCTATTATTGTTAGGCAAGTTTTCAAACTTTGGGCCATGTGGCCCACTGCAGATTACACGGGCTCCGAGAGAGTCAGACAGGCAACAGTGGGTGTGACCAGTTGAGTAACTGGGGGTGAAGTAAGCTTAGTTCATGGCTACACTGATCAACCCTACTTCTCCATCATCTCGCCCACGTGCCTCCTCTTTCTCCGGACTATTGTGTTTTTGGTCCTCCATTCATTCTGCTTCCTCTAAAACTCATACTTCCACGTCCCAATCAGAATAAGCAGTCAATTTGATTGAAAATAAGTAAAGCAACAAAAGGGAAACGATGTCATTATCAACCTTTCCTGCAGCCTCCGCCCAGCTCAATAGATATTCCAGCTACTGCTGTGGTTGTATAATGTGATTCAGGATGTGGAGGTTGTAGAGTGAAAAAAATAAAATTAAATTCTGTAAAGTCAGCAAGTTAGCAGTACTTTGGGATATCTTGGTTGCTCTTCTAAAACACTCTCCCCACACACTTACGTGTTCTGTCCAAAGTTTATTAATGAGCAAGGAAGTTTAGGGGGAGAGCTGGGCCTAACACAGGATTAAGAACCCAAGTGGCTCAGGAAGGGGCCATTCACAGCTTTGTGCTCCATCGCCCAGAGAGAATAGGCTAAGATGGTGGGGAGAGGGAGGGAGACGATATAAAAAATGTTTCTATTTCCCAGCCCAAGTCTGTCATCTTCTGTCTCCTGGGCACTGGGATAGAATTTCTTATGGCCCAAACCTCACTAAATTCCAAACGAAAACAACCCATTGAACTACTATTCACTTTGCTTCTCGTTGTCTCTCTCTCCATCTCTCTGTCTCTCTCCTTCTCTCTCTCAGACTGTGGTGCCTGGAGGTATTTGGATATTATTTGGAATGTCACATTTTAAGTAGACACTTGCTTTCTCACAGATGTTCTAATGTCTACAGCTACCAAACCAAACTTACATGATATTCATTATATATTGCTGTGTAACACAATTTACCACCACTGAATGTAGTGGATTAAAACAACACATCTGTTTGTGTGACTCCGGAGTCCAGGCAGAGCTTCCTTGGGTCCTATGATTAGGATCTTTCAGAGCAGCAGTCAAGGTATCATCTGGAGTTGGTTCTCATCCATAGGCTTGTCTAAGGACGCATCCACTTTCCTGTTTCCATGTTGGCAGCATCCAGTTCTGTACAGCTGTAGGATTTGTGGTTGCTTGCTTCTTCAAAGTAAAAAAGAAAATAAAATGAGAGAGGGATCAGGCAGAGTCTGCTAGCAAGAGGATGCAACATAATAATGCAAATGACATCACATCTCTTTGGCCATTTTCCAGTGGCTAAAGACAAGTCCCAGGTCTTGCCCATACTCAGGGGCAGTAATTACATGAAGTGTGAACACCAGGAGGTGGAACACACGGCAGTCACTTTTGGAGCCTATCAACCACACTCTCCTCCTTGGCAGAAACATCCTATTTGACTTATTCCAGTCAAGCCTCCTATTTGGGATCTTCAAGACATATTAAAAATTCCATCTGTTGTTATCCACCTTGATAATGTTTAAAAGAGTTTTTATAGACATTGTTCTTGATAGACTGGTATTCTTTAGTGTTAAATTTCTTAAGCTTAGCAGTCCTTTTGCTTTATTTCATTAAAAAGATTCAAGAAAGATAAAGTAATTTTTCTATATTTGCATTGCTATTTTTATATTTGATATCTTGTTGCTATATTTCAATACTGTAAGGTGCAATGGAATGAACAAGTTTATGTAATCATTAAAAACCTCTCAAAATTTTATAATCGTTTATGACAATGTAATTCCTTCATAATTTTCATCAGCTTTATTTCCTTCAGAATGGGTTAGTGACCTCATCTCTCATATATTGCTTCTTGCCTGATGATTCTTAGTCAACATATTCCTTCTGGTTTTAAAAATCATTGTTACTTTCTTGGGTTTGTGAGGCAGCACATGATGAAAAATGGATTTATTATTTTATTTGTATTTTTTGCATGGACCACCAATAATACTGCTAGCTCTATGTTTTGCTTTGGTTCCGGCAACCTAAAGCAGAAGAAATGTTTTCACATTATTTCTTCCTTCACTTACCAAATCAATCACTGAGATGGTACAAGACACATTATACTATGGCGGCTCTTCAGAAGCCTTGGAAGTAGGTTTGACGACATTTGGTCTCATCAATTCCACAGGAAAGGCAAAGGATACTTCCTCTGTTCAGGAAAGCGCATGAGCTTTGAAATAAACATCCAGGTATAATTTAAAATAACAAACTGTAATCTATATAACTACATAAAACCTTTAAAAATAATCACCCTTGAAAACAAATGTATTATTTCTATTCTGGCCATGCCGGAATTCCTGGATACTTGTAATCAGAGGTAATGCTGTATCCCTACGATGATATCAGGAAGTACAGGTGTTCTACTCTGTATTCCCTGACAGAAAATGTATATTTCCATGGTATCCCAGGATCGCCCACACAGAAATATGGAGGGTACCACATACAGTTTGTTGAGTACATTACTGACAGGTTTAATGAATAAGCAAATATTCTAATTTCTGCATATATATTTAATGTCGGTTGGTATCTAAATACAAATATTTAAGCACAAAGTTATTCTTTATTATTTAACCTTGGGCAGATTTTGTTGGATTTGGCTTTTAAAGACTGTAACTGGATACATTGATGGGCAAGACGCTTTTTAACAGGTACTGGAAATAAACAATCAGACATTGTCACAGGCATAGTTGTGGCTTTTTCCTAGAGTAAGAATTTCAGAAGAGTAATCTCAAAAAGAATGAAATTTGTAGATAGATACATTTCACCATTAAAATTAATTATATTGTGTTCTATAATTTAATGTTTTTAGTATGTATTAAGTAAGCCATCTGTTATCAGAATGACAGTATTGACCAGTAGAATGCATTCCAGACTTGGAGTGAAAAGGATTAACTTTGAATTCTGACTCCATCCCTAGAATGGAAATTTCTCTTCTACTCACCACCATCACCTGTGAAGTGGGGGTAATAAGAGCATTCTTTCCTGCTTCCCAGGGCTGCCATGCATGTCAAAACACATGTGATAGCGCTTTCGTAAACTCTAAAGCAACTGTAAGCTTTTATTAGAAGTTAGCTTCTGTAAATATACATTGTTCTGGGAATGCAATCACACACAAAACTACAGCATTAAAACTCATGATGCAGCAATACAAAGCATGCAGAGGGAGGCTTTAAAAAGTTAATGAGATATGAGACCAGTAAATACCTAAGTGGAAAATAATTATTTTCTACTTGCTCGACACTGTAAAGATAACAGTATGTCCAAAATTCAGGAAAAGTTTTTTATCTGGTCATGTTGCCATCTATGGCTCCTTGTACGGGGAGGCAGGAATGAATGGCAGGTCAGAGGAGGCAGATATGCTGTCAGAAATATCATTTGGATTATAAATGAAAGTATTAGGAAGCTTCCTTGGAGAGGGCTGAGTTGTAAGAAACTGAAAATGGGAAACATTTGCCCAAGAGACAAATTCTTCACACAATATTTAGTTTGCTTCCTTAGAGACTATTCCTTTCAATTTTAGAACAATACTGCTCACTGAGATTGAGAATTTAAATAACTTTTCTGTAGCCAATTGTGGACTCTATTCTAAAAAAAAGAGCAAAAGAAGCAAAAACATTGGTAGAAAGAGAAAAATACTGCCCAGCTTGAAGTGTTTCTCTTGGTGTATATATTGTAGGCATAAAGTACGCTTAGTGTATAGTGTACTTAGTCTATTTTAACACGTATTGTAAGCCCTACTTAAATTTGCCAACTTGCCGAAATGGCATCAATTCATATTTCTGGACTGTTACCAGGAAACTTCTGTGGATTTCTTAGATATGACAAAAAAGGCAAACATTGATAGTGAGAATACCAGTCATTTAAAAGACAAAACAAACAGACTACTTTAAATGGAAAGAGTAACCAATCCCATCCTCAAAAAACAGTACACCTTTAAGCATATATATACGCACATACTTAAATATACACACACGATGGAAGGCTGATACCTTCACAACCTAGTGTAATGGAAATAAAGTCCTCATGAAATATATTTTCCCTCTCACACAAGCTGTAAAGTCACAGCAGACTAGATTATATTCCATAGCCAGAAGCACTACCTTTTATTCATACAGTAGATGGGGTAAATCATCAGAATTATATAGCAGGGACATGTTTCCCCACAACTTCAGCTAGTGAAAACTTCAAAAGGTAGAAAAAAAATCTCTCTAATATTGGATCACATTACTGATTTGCGGTATTTTCCAAATCATGGTAATAAATTCAGTACAAAATCCTTTTAGTAGACTTCATGGCAGAGCACAACAGTGAGTCGAAAGAAATGTAAAGGACTGAAGTAATCAAAGAAAGAGTGGGACAGCTTAGGCTTGTTTGGTGAGTACATAGCCTTTTTTTCCTTTCATACCTATGTTTATGCATATCTCACAATAACAGTAATTATAATTATTTTGTTGTTAACCATAGAGCTTTCCTTTTATAAGAGAGAAGATCCATCAAGAGTTATTGAGGAACTCTGCAGTTAATGTTCCAAACCGTTTTTTACAGACCTGGAAGGTATATGTTCAAAAGTATTCCAAATATATTTTAAAAAAAGTTGTGTGCTGGTTTTATCAAATGAGTCTGCTAAAATTAAAAATGAAGCAAGTAAACCCCCCCATAGACTATTTATAGCTGAAATCAATAACTCATCTAAAACAGCATGCATATCTAGAAATACACTTGCTAATAGGTTCACTTGACCTATTTCTAGTAACGATAATGTTTATTTTACTTTCCTGTGAACTGAATATATTGCTTAACAATGACATTTGTAAGCAGATACATGAATCTTTGAGAGAAAATTTGAGGAACCAAAAAATGTCACAGGAAACTATTACCTTGGAGAAGGTAATAGTTTCCATCATTCCGTCTATTCTATTGAGAGGAAGGTGAAGGTACAAATTCCGTATCTTTAAATATACAGGTAACGAGTTTTCAGTGATAGGTAGATGGACACCCACCCCACACGAATCTGCTTCGGTTTATCCTTCCCTCAAAAGTGTGTATTTACAAAAATAAGGAGTTAATTCCCAAAGTTCTGAGTTAGAATCAACATGTTAACTTTTCTCTTAATGGAAAACCTTCCCTGAAAACAAGTGTCGCTAGCTCTGGTCAATTAGGATTACCTGCTAAGAGATATTAATGTGTGTATAGTGCCCATGGTCTTATGGTTGTCTTGTGATCGTATATTTTAAAAACCAGTTATATCCTCACTGAATACTAAAAATTTGATCATTATTGGCTGGGAAATTCAGTTTTCTTGCAGGTATGAGTCATACCTTTGAATAAGCCTTACTTTGATGAGTTATTATTGAAGTCTTTGCTCAAATGTCATCTGTTCATTGAGGGCTTTCTTCACCACCCTATTAAAATTGTAATCCCAGGCCGGGTGCTGTGGCTCATGCCTGTAATCCCAGAGCTTTGGGAGGCCAAGGCAGGAGGATCATTTGAGGCCAGGAGTTTGAAGCTATAGTGAACTATGACTGTGCCACTGCACTCCAGCTTGGGTGACACAGTGAGACCTCCTCTCTATATATATACTGATATATATACACACATACTTATATACTTTCTCCACCCTGCAGTTGATGCCACTTAATGGCCCCCCTTTTTCTTTTTTTCTGTAGCACTATTCACCTTCTAAAATGTTAAATGGTTGACTTATATGTATTGTTTATTGTATTAAGCCATTCTTGCAAGGCTATAAAAAGTATCTGAGACTCCTTAGTTTATAAAGAAAACAGGTTTAATTGGCTCACGTTTCTGCAGGTTTTACAGGACGCATGATGGTGACAACTGCTTGGCTTCTAGAAGGCCTCAGGAAGGTTACAATCATGGCAGAAGGTAAAGGGAGAACAGGCACTTCACATGGTGAAAGTAGGAGCAAGAGAGAGAGTGAGGAGCGGGAAGGTGTCACATACTTTTTATTTTTTATTATGTATTTTATTATACTTTAAGTTCTAGGGTACATGTGCACAACGTGCAGGTTTGATACGTATGTATACATGTGCCATGTTGGTGTGCTGCACCCATTAACTCGTCATTTACATTAGACATAACTCCTAATGCTATCCCTCCCTGCTCCCCCGACCCCATGACAGGCCCCGGTGTGTGATGTTCCCCACCCTGTGTCCAAGTGTTCTAATTGTTCAATTTCCACCTATGAGTGAGAACATGCGGGGTTTGGTTTTCTGTCCTTGCCATAGTTTGCTCAGAATGATGGTTTCCAGCTTCATCCATGTCCCTGCGAAGGACACGAACTCATCATTTTTTATGGCTGCATAGTATTCCACGGTGTGTATCTGCCACATTTTCTTAATCCAGTCTATCATTGATGGACATTTGAGTTGGTTCCAAGTCTCTGCTATTGTGAATAGTGCCGCATTAAACATACGTGTGCATGTGTCTTTATAGTAGCATGATTTATAATCCTTTTGGTATATACCCAGTAACGGGATGGCTGGGTCAAATGGCATTGCTAGTTCTAGATCCTTGAGGAATTGCCACACTGTCTTTCACAATGGTTGAACTAGTTTACAGTCCCACCAACAGTGTAAAAGTATTCCTATTTCTCCTGTTGTTTCCTGACTTTTTAATGATGGCCTTTCTAACTGGTGTGAGATGGTATCTCATTGTGGTTTTGATTTGCATTTCTCTGATGGCCAGTGATGATGAGCATTTTTTCCTGTGTCTGTTGGCTGCATAAATGTCTTCTTTTGAGAAGTGTCTGTTCATATCCTTCACCCACATTTTGATGGGGTTGTTTGATTTTTTCTTGTAAATTTGTTTAAGTGCACAGCAAAAGAAACTACCATCAGAGTGAACAGGCAACCTACAGAATGGGAGAAAATTTTTACAATCTACCTATCTGACAAAGGGCTAATATCCAGAATCTACAAAGAACACATACTTTTTAAATGACCAGATCTCACTAGAGCTTACTACCACAAAGACAGCATCAAGCCATGAGAGGTCCTTCCCCGTGATCCAAACACCTCCCACCAGGCCCACCCCCAGCACTGGGGATTACAATTCAACATGCGTTTTGGGCAGGGACAGATATCCAAATTTTATTATTTATTATTTATCTTTCTAGCTAAAATGTATGGTTGTCACAGATGTGTTTGTGAGTTGAGTAAGGTAGAAAATGACTAAAGGATGTTTCATTCTACCACCAACACAAAGCAAAATGAAAAACGAACCAAAAATTCAGCCCTGGTTTTGACTAACACCTACCTGAGAAGTGCTCCTTGGACCCAGGGCCCCAAAACCTAGACTTCCAGTGTAGGTATTTGCAAGAAGGTGAAGTGTTGTGAAGTGGGAATCAAGGTGGGGTCTGGAGAAAGAAGGCAGGCCTGAACACTCTGGCAGACAGCAGGGGTGTCTCGTCTCTGTGTTCTATTCAGAAATCATTGGATCCTTTCATTGCAGTCTTGGAGCTCAGAATAAAGACAGAGAGAAAGAGGTGACCTGTTCACTGGAGCCAGGAAACATAAGATGTTTGTGTTGGTTCTGTGAGAACTGAATATTTAAAATATTCTTAAGTTTGAAGGTTTTTCTAGATATTACAATAACAGAAATTCACAGATATTGATAAACAACACTCACTTTGAGAGAGAATACATACTGTATATCTTAGGGCAGAGCACTGGGATATATAAATACTTCTGAATCTTAAGAAACAGTCATTTTAAATGAAGTGGCATTAAATGGTTTTATTTCTCCCATCATGCCATGTTAGCATTTAATAACTTGAAGAGTCAGATTCTGTCTTTAGTAATTTATACTCAAAGTAAAAGCAATTATGAAGTATTTTTTGATAATGAGGGTTATCATGAAATTTTCTTTGCAATTTCTAAACTGTATATGCTGCTGAAAGTTTAGCTAGCATTATCCTATGAATATATGTGGTCGGAAGTATAACACATGAGTTAAAGTGGCCTATAATGATGCCCACAAGAGAAAACTTAAAAAAAAAAAAGAGACAGAACTCATACAAAACACAAGTAAACTTGTATTTTAAAGAATCATATAATTAATATGTTTCTTTTTAATTTCTATAAACTGGTACATGAAAAAAATCCCAAGGAATGCAATACACTATATTACATTTTGAATTCCACAGAATTCTCTTCTTATCCGGGCGTATTTGGATTACATAGGGAGAATTCATGGGCAAATGTTTTTTTTCACTTCTTGGTTGTACAGATTCAGGTGTTGGGGGAAAAAGGGTTGGCAAACCTAAGTTTAGGTGAATACATTTGCACCAGTGTAGGGAGGGCTGTAGTGACAGCCCCGGTATGTGCACAATTGTATTCCAATATTCTGTAGCTATGAGGGATTGAATGGGTGTTAAACTAATTTGTTCACCTTCTTGCAAACATCTTCTTTGCTCTTATGAACATTGTATCCTGTATCTGCAATCAGACCACCAGATGTGACAAAAAATGGTCAGACCTAATACGTTTAAAACTTGGAAAAAAATACCCTTAGGAAAATGAGCCCATTTTCCTTAATAAATACCGGGCACAAGCATGGGTGTAAAGTTTACAGAAAAAGGAACAAGCTCTTATGCGTTATGAGAGAGTAGAACTTTGAGCAATGTGAAAAGTTTTATTTAAGAACCTGACTTCAAATACAATCCACCCCATTCTATAGTGAGACAGAGCGACGCTTCAAATGTAAAAGTTAGATCACTCCTGACACATTTGGGCCAGGTGTGAAATTAGAGTATTTACACTCTCAGGGACTCTTCCCAATTGTTAAAAAGTCATCCTACCTTCTGGTGTAAGGAGGAGCTCCTCGCCATTTAATTTGCTGGGTACAGCTTAAGTCAGCAGTTTACAATACTCTTTTCTAGAATGTAATGAAGATTTATTCATTTTACCTTCCTCCTAATTTGCTCACTTATGACCAAAAGGAAAACAGGATCTGGCTTTCACATGGAGGAAAAGGACCATCCACACGATGGGACAGCTGCAAATATTATTTCTGTGCTGATGGCTTGAAACTAACTAATCATTACATTTCAACAGGGATGAGAAGATTTAGCAAGAGAGAATGTTTCTCAGTTCTCTAATTAAAATAACAGATTTTGAAAGCAGAAATACAGCCTATTACTTTTATAAAAGAAGAAAAATTATTCAGCTCGGAGAAAAATAGTAAGAACCTCCTATTTCCCAGCTTTTATGTAACTGTGTATATTACAGCAGCATCACCATCCCCCACAGGGTCATTTCAGGTCAAGATGTTACTTTATGTGACTTTCATTTGGTCACTATGTCAAAGATGAAGGCTATTTTGTGGTTTTTGATAAATTGGAAACTTTGGGTGTGTTTCTAAGAGCTACCCCTAAAGGGCTTCCGTAGGTAGGAATTTGGTTCAAAACTTGTTCATTCTCTTTACACTTCAGATAAGCAATGAACAAACTGCTATGGTTCTCGATGTCCTTTTTGAACACAGAATTTAAAGAAAGTGCTATTTGTGACCATCTGGCAAGCTGTCATTCACTAACTGCTGATGAAACACGCCTGAGAAAAGATCCACTATGCTGGCTGTTGCCGGCAATTGCAATGTAGGTAGGAACCAGATTCACGACTCAAAGAGATTAATATCAAATTCTACAACTAGAGGCAGACATACTTCAGGCATGCTTAGGAAAAAATATACTTTCTGTGAGATAATGCTTTATTCTCCCTCAGTTTTTTACTTTCTTGAGCATAAAAAAAATAAGGGAAACTTCAAACGGTTATTGCCTTTTATTTTTCTAAAGAGAAGAACTAATCTGTAGAAGGTCACAGATTATGTTCAAAAAGAACAAACCTGGCTTTCTTAATCCCCCAGGCAAGGAAAGACTGCTTTTTTTTTTTTTTTTTCTGTCCTTGGGAGTAGCTATGTCGAAAAAGATCAAAGGGATTTTTGGCTAAATATGATGTAATGCCAGATGAGTCATTTCCTCGGGTGCAGGTAGTGAGAAATAAATGCTTATTTTTGTTCACAAAGAAGAAGTTAAAACTTTCGTATTTTCTAATAAGAATTGAAGATACATCTACCTTTTGCTATTATGCAGGTCGTTTGGTGAATAAAAGGGAGTGCCGGTGAGGTGATTACAGGAATTTCGTTTTGTCCTCACCAGGTCCTTCTCTCATGACAAGTAGCAAGCCCGTGCAGTGACAAAAGTCTTAGAATATTTATAAAAAGGAGTTCTAAACAGCATAAGAAAAATATGTTTAACAAAGTAATTTTGAGCTTTTCTAATGAGAGTTATCTATAACGATTACTTAGCACGGTTCCTGACTAGTAGAAATGGTTACAAAAATAGGGTAGAAATAAATAGCATCTATTCTTAGTAATACCTCCTGTTCCAGAATAAACGTATATATACACCAATTTCATCTTCTTACAAACTTAAATCAGTAGGATGACTCACCAGGACCAAAAGTGCCTATGGGAAGAAAGAGTATATCTATTGAGAAGTTCAAAAGAGGCAGTTGTGTACTAGAAAGAAGAAAAGGCATTAATATTTAAAGGCCCCTACCATAAGTCAGTCTCTAGGCTGGATCTCACATACGTCTATCATGTAATGGGGAACTGAAAAGCAAAAATTCTCCAAAATGTCTTTTTTCTTTTTCTTTTTTTTGATACAGGGTCTCACTCGGTTGTTTAAGCTGGCGTGCAGTGGTGCAATCTCAGCTCACTGCAACCTCTGCCTCCTGGGCTCATGTGATTCTCATGCCTCAGCCTCCCAAGTAGCTGGGATTACAGGCATGTGCCACCATGCCCAGCTAATTTTTAAAAAATGTATTTTTAGTAGAGATGGGGTTTCACCACGTTGCCCAGGCTGGTCTTGAACTCCTGAGCTCAAGTGATCCACCTGCCTTTGCTTCTCAAAGTGCTGGGATTATAGGCATGAGCCACCACGCCTGGCCCAAAATATCTTCTAAGACTGCATCTATGCAGCAATATAATATCATGGATGAATTCAAGACTCCTGAAACACATTGCCTCTCCCTGAAGCTTGACACCTGCTTTCTGAGTGACCCTGGGCAAGTTACATAATCTCTGGATGCCTCAGGTTGCTCAGGCATATAATGAAGATGACAAGCAGATTTATCACCTGAGGCTTCCATGGCATTACCTGGGATAATGAATATAAACACCTAGAGCAGTGTCTAGAATATAATATGTGCTCAACAAATATTAGCTGTTATTATTCAGTAATAATTTTGATATTTTAAATACCAAGAGTCAAAGTATATCCATGTGTTGTATCTTATTTTCTCTTTCTGCCTCTTTTACACACACACTTTTGCTGACACCTGCTCACACATGGTCACCCATGCATTTGTCAATGGGTCATATAAGCTATGACTATCATTCTCCGCTCTGTGAGGTCTAGTTTTGCGTGGCTTACCAAGCATGGGGAATATGTGGGCCAGAGTCAGTATTTTGATTCCTACTCCAGTGCTCTTTCCACTATAACATTCTGCCTTTGGAATCACCTGACTGATCAACAATTTAGATAATACAGCCAGCCAATCTAGATAAGACTGACCTAATTCTTTAGTTAAATAAGAGGCTTAATTTATGTCTTAAAGAGAATAGGGTTCAATATAACTTAAACAGGAGAATATATTCCTTTATTAGAGATGAAAATGTAATGAGAGAAAATGATCTGGTGGGCTTACAAAAGTGCTTGTGACTGTTATATCAGATAACTTGTCAAACCATGGAAACGCACAGACTTCTAGAATGGGAGATAAGAATGAATAATCAGTGTGTTCCCTTTGGTGATCTTCTCATGCAGCTTTATGTTAATCTTTTCACATTCTCTATAAAGTACATTTACTTCAACTGGGAACTGAGTCTTTTATTTGTTATATATTCAGCCAAATGATGAAGAAGTAATTCTTTAATTATGTTATCAACGCAGCATGCTATAAAATTTCAGATGAAGACTACTCATTCATTCATCTAAATGAAGATTTAGTGAGCTGTCACTATATACCAAGTATTTTGAGGATACTTGGGGAATAAGACAGACACTTTTCCTTCCTTCATTAAGCTTCCACTTTACTTAGGGAGACAGAAAATTAAAAGTAGAGAAATAATTAAGTGTTATAAATTCAGGTTGTATTAAGTGTCATGAAGAAAAACAAAGTCAGATAAAGAAATTAAAAGTGATGGTTAGTGGTACAAGGAGAAGAACGATGATTCATGAATGGGTAAATTAGGAGCAGCCTCTTTGAGGAGAAAAGATTGGAGCAGAGACCTCGACATGGGGAGTAAAGAGCTGGATGAGGAACATTCCAAGCAATGGAGACGAATGTAAATCTCCATGGCGGAGATAAGGTTGGATGCCAGGATAGCTGGGGTGGGTTAAGGAGAAGCTAGAATGACAAGACGGATGTTTGGACACCTGGCCGGGACAATTAGAGTCCTGCTGTCCTTGGTCAGGAGTTTATAGACTTTATCTGACCTAGACAGATACAGACTGGTGTTTGAAAAGGATGATTCTACCTGCTATGTGGTGAATAGGCTGTAAGGGATTGAGCTAGAGTGAAAGGAGGGCAGTCATGACCACACACACACACACACACACACACACACACACACACAGGCGTGCGCGCGCGCGCACACACACACACAGTCATGCGCTACATTATGATGTTTCAGTTAGTGATGGACTGTATATGTTAATACAATGATGGTGCCATAAGATTCTAATGGAGCTTAAAAATTCCTATCACCTAGTGATGTCCAGATTGCTTCAACCCTGTATAGTCCTAGGCTGATGCATGTACTCTTTCTTTGTTTTTAACAAAAAGAGTTGAAAATGTTAAAAAAAAGTTTAAATAGAAAAATATTAATAGAAGTATAAAGAAAGAAAATATTTCTGTATAGCTGTATAACATTTGTACTGTTATAAAAGCTAAAAAAATTAAAATTAAAAGTTTATAAATTAAAAAGTTACAGTAAGCTATGGTTAATTTATTATTGAAGAAAAA
Source organism: Homo sapiens (assembly GCF_000001405.40). Classification (NCBI taxonomy): domain Eukaryota; kingdom Metazoa; phylum Chordata; class Mammalia; order Primates; family Hominidae; genus Homo; species Homo sapiens. The sequence goes on from NC_000008.11 coordinate 15,912,075, forward strand.
TATTTGTTTATAAATTTTGTGTAGCCTAAGTGTAAAATATTAGGCTAGTGAAAAAGTAATTGTGGCTTTTGCCATTACTTTTAATGGTAAAAACAGCAATTAGATTTGCACCAACCTACTATTTATAAAATCTGCAGTAGAGTACAGGAATGTCCAGGCTTTCACATTCACTCACCGGTCGCTCACCCTCACCCAGCACACCCTCCAGTCCAGCAAGCTCCATTCATGGGATCTGCCTTATACAGTTGTGCCATTTAAACAAAATCTTTTATATCATATTTTTACTTTACCTTTCCTAGGTCTATATGTTTGATACACAAATACTTACCATTGTGTTACAATTACCTACAGTATTCAGTACAGTAACATGTCGTGTAGGTCTGTAGCCTGGGATCAATAGGCTCGAACACACAGCTTGCATGTGTAGCAGGCTATGCCATCTAGGTTTGTGTAAGCGCACTCCGTGATATTCACACAATGATGAAATCGCCTAACAATGCATTTCTTCAAATGGGGACATTTCTCTGAATCGATCTCCTTTGTTAAGTGATGCATGACTCTGTGAGAGAGAGAGAGAGAGACGGAGAGAGAGAGAGAGAGGTTATATGTGTGTGTGTGTGTGTGTGTGTGTGTGTGTGTGTGTGTGTGTGTGTATGAGGAGAGAGACCGAGGGCTGGGGAGGGAGGGGGGTGGATTTTAAGAAATTTGGCCATGCGTGAATGTGGTGGCTAGCATATCCAAAATTCTAAGGACAAGCCAGGAGGCTGAATATTCAGGTAGGAACTGATGTAGTTTTGGATCAAAATTTCGCATGGCAGACCAGGCTGGCTGGAAACTCAGGCAGGGTATCTATGCTACAGTCTTGATGCAGAATTGCTTCTTCTCTGGGAGACCTCAGTCTTTGCTCTCAAGCTTCAAATGCTTGGATGAGGCCTGCCCACATCACAGAGGGTAATTAGCTTCACTCAGAGTGAGGTGATTGAAAATGTTAATCACATTGAAGAAACACCTTCAGAGTGATGATCTAGATTGGTGCTTGAACAAACAGCTGGCACTGTAACCTGGCCACACTGTCACATAACACTAACCATCCCAAGTGGCTAGGGCTGGAGCAGGAGCAGTGGAAATGCTGGAAGATTATTGGTGTCTAGGTATGTTTTCAAGGTAGAGCCAATGGGACATCTAAGTCCCTTGCCCTGAATAACCAAATAATGATACTCCCCCTCACCAATAGGAGTTGTGGGGTGAATTCTCCGGAGACATTGAAATGGAGAGACTCTAAGGGACACCAGCCTCAGGGGGAATACTGGGGGTGTAAAGGTGAGTAAAACCACAGCAACAACAAAAAACAACATTAGCATGGTTACTTTTTCCTCCTGTTCTACTCAGTACATGTGGTTTAATAGATTTGCTAGTTTGAGCATGTCTACTTTCATTCAATAAGTGTTTACAGAGTACTTATTATGTACCCATCATTATATTTGACATCATGAACACTGAGTTGAAAATCAACGCCTCTGATCTCAAGAAATGATATGTCTATCAGGAGATAGAGAATTAAAAAAAATAATGAATGTGATGTTATAAATGTGCACAGAATGCTATGAAAGAGCATGGAATGTCACCTGATGTTGCTGCAGGGGTCAGTGAGGTAGATATTGAGGTGAATCTCTATTTTGTCAGATGAAAAGAGGAAGGATAGAACACCAAAGAAAACAACATGAGTAAAATATGTGAACGAATAACAGCATGATCTCTTGGGGCTGGTAGGAAGTCTGGTGTCACTTGACAATGTGCGTGTGTGTGTGTGTGTGTGTGCACGTGTGTCTAAAGGGGGACTGGGGTAGGCTTGAGAAAGAGGAATGAAGGAATGCGAAGTGATGTGTGGCCTGAGATATGTGTAGTCAGACTAGATCATGAGTAGCTTTGTATGCCAGCTTTTATCCTTAATACATTATAGTACACTTGAGAGAATGTGATCACATCAGATTCATGGTTCAGAAAAGTTACAATAACAGAAGAGTGAAGCATTGAATAGAAGCGATGAAACTGGAAGTGAAGAGGGAGGAGGGAAAGACACTAATATTTCTCAAAAATCAAAGCATGGATAAAGCGGTGGTAGCAATGAGAATGCAGATATACTTTTGAAGATTATTTAGAAAGTTGGAAGAACTGATTAGATTTGGGAGAGAAGTAAAAGGGATCATAAGAGAAAGGCAGAAACCAAAATTAACCTCAGGTTTGGTTTTTGTTCTCTTTCTTTCAGTGTATCAGCATATAAAACTCACTGTGATAAAGAATTTAGGAAAAACGTTGTGGAGGAGCTTTAAGGGATGATAATGAATTCATAGAGAAGTTGAATTTCAGATGTTGTGGTTCATCTAAGAGTGTGTGATTTTTAGAAAGAAAATAGATACATGTTCTAGAATTCAGGAAAACCTTGTTGGCTGTGGAAGTCACAAGCAGAGAGTGACAGGATGAGATCCTACCAGGAGACACAGTGGAATGAGAATAGGGCCAAGAATGGGACACCCGGGGCCACCAACACTTGAAGGTCAGAAAGAATAAGAGAAGCCTGAACATGAGACTGGGAAGGAGTGGACAGGGGCACAGGAAGAAAGCCAGGACATTATGGTGTTACGATTCCAAGAGGGGAAAGGACATGAAGAGGGTAAGAATGATCAGCAATGCCAAATATGGTGGACAGTTTGAGCAAAAAAAGGCTGAAATTGTACATTGAGTTTGGCCACTACGAAATCTCTGATGATAATGGAAAAAAACACAACTAAAACCAAAACCAAAACCAACCAATCAAATAAAAAACAACAACAAAAATATCCCAACCAACCAACAAACCAAATTTCCAGTAGTTACTCGAGGAGTAAGAAGCAGGTGAGAAAATAGGAGCAAGAATATTACCTACTCTTGCAAGACAGGAAAGAAAGGGTAAATATAATATGAGCAAAGTAAAAGGAGAGACATTAAAAAGGAAAAGATCTGAGCAAAGTACATGCTTAAGAGGAGTCATTACATTGAAGTTACATATGTTTCTTACTCCATATAAATATATGAGATAAAGGAACATTGATGGGTCTGGCTGAGAAACAAGAAAGGATGAAGTACAAAGAATAAAGAAAAGAATTACCTATAAACCACAAGGAGGAAAGCTGTCTTATCCTCTGGTTAGAAGAAGTGATAACTGAGGCAGAGCTATGTGTAGGTGGCAGATAAGTCATCAGATCAGGCAGTTGAATGATTCATCCATTTGCCCTTTCATTCGTTTTTTTAACAATACTTTGTATGTGCCAAGCTCCTTGCTTAGAGCAAGGTATACAACAAGAAACGAAATAGCAGTCTATCCTCTCAGGCCAGTGGAGGAGATGGAAAAGTAGCAAATGAGTTATAATACTGTACTATATACAATCAATGAAGTGTTTAATGGGACTTCAAACTTTCTGAAGTTGGAGAATTGCTATTTTAAAGTTGCTTAGCAATTCTTTTATCCCTGAAAGTGGAAAAATCACTGGAGCAAACTCGTTTTGATAAAATTACAAGAAAGTATCCTTTAGTTATATAAGTGTAACACAAGATTCTACCCATTATTCTTAGAAAACTATGAAACCACCAATGAAAAAAAGCAGATACTTCTGACTGACTGAGAAGTTAAATACGAATTGAATGGGATTGTAACTAGGAGCCTCTTGTAACAGGTTAGAGCCTTGTAGAGTCGGAAATGTTTCTCTCCTTCGGTATGGATTTAGATGTGACTGTTCCTGAAAATTACTTGTTTTTAGTGGAGTGAGTGTGTCTTTTGTTCAAATATTTACTCACAGTACAGGACAAGATGGCAACCATGTCTTAAAAGATGTAGATGACCCTTGCTGGAGGAAGAAATATAAAAATGAGTTGGGCTGAGCTTGATTCAATGCAGCTGGTTACTCATACATTAATTTATTTCTGATTGGATAAACAAAACACTCTTGGAAGTTTTATAAATGTACTATCAACCACCCTTATTGCCTTATCTCGATGATGGAGAATATATGAAATTTTAATCATATTAGGGTGGAAATGGGTTGACTCTGGCTTAGAAAGAGATGAACATTCTTTTCTCTTTGGAGCTGGAGAATTCAAGACCTGGACCCAGAGGTGGGAAAATCAGAGAGATCCTAGGTGGTGATATTTGAGCTGTAATCTTCCACATAGGAGCGGCAGCAGGCTCAAGAGAATCTCTGGATTTGAATCTGGGCTTGTGTGCCCTCAGGATAACTAGAAGCAATGTAACATGCTAACTGGACATTTATTTCATTTCCAAAAATTTCGTAAAGTTTGTGAAACATAGTAAGTTGTTTTTGACTTCATTCTCAAGGAGTCAAGTAGGTGGGTTTTTTCTATCCTTACAGCATCTTGAAGAAGCTGGGTAGAAGAAAACAAGAGTTGCTTTGGTTTGGAAAAAGGATTTCTGGCAGAAGTGAGAGGCAGTCACCAAGACTGCAACTAGAACAGTTGAACTGCCCACGGGGATTCTTGAAAGTTACCTGGGGCGGGAAATATAAAGTAAAGATGGATAATTTGGCACAGGAAAACTTGGAGAATTGCATATTGTATATTAAAAGAAATACGCACTTTAAAAAAAACATGGTAGGATATGGTGCAATAAAGCAGACATCCAATTCAGCTTCGGGAGGTCAGAGAAGTCTTCCTGAAAGAGGTAGGATTTGAATGAAATCCTAAATAATGGGCATTTGATTAGGCCAATTTGTTCTCATTTCTTACAGGCAGAGGAAGTGGCATGCTCAATGGCTGGAAGGCAAATTAAAAGAAAGAAAGAAAGAAAAAAAGAGATGGCATATCTGGGAACTGCAGGTAGCTTGGAGAATTTCTTACATTTATGGAAACTTGGATTTTATCCCAATAACAGTGGGGAATCACTGAACAGTTTTATATCAGTTCTCACTTAGATTTTAGAACTAGTAAGATTGAAAAGAAGCAGTAGGACCAGTTAGAACTTTTTTGTACTACAGATGAAAAAGGACCATTGTCTATGCCAAGCAAGGGCATTGGGTATAATGAGAAACAGACGAAATCAGGTCATTTCTAGAAGATATCAATAGGCTAAGGTGATAACTTGAATATGATAGTAGGGGAATGAAGACTCAGAGATAACTTCAGATTTCCTGGCTTGGGCAAACTTAAGTTTTCTGGGTGGATGCTGGCGTCTTTCCATAAAAAAAAAAAAAAATAGAAGTCACAGCTATTCTGGGGGTGGGTAGAAAATTAAGACTTTAATTTTGGCGACTAAGCTCTCTGTATAATAAAAAATATTCAGTAAACCTTTGACTAGATTGGTCTGAAAGTCACAGAAATGTCTGACTTGAAGGCACAGAAAAGGGGATGTAAATGTCACATCAATGTTAACTAAACACATAACAGTGGAATGCAAAACTCAACTAGAATGCCGAAGTGGGAATATTAGAGGACAGGAGGTATATCTCTGATGCACACACCTACACACACACACACACACACACACATTCAAAGCATATGTGGAAAAAGAAGCACTGGAAAATCAGACTGACTGAAGATTGACCCAGGATACAAAAGGAAAATGAGAAAAGTGTGGATTTATAGAAGCAAAATAAAGAATTGTAAGAAAGAGTTGAACAACGAAGTGGAATGATAAAAAGAGATCAGAAAGAAAAGTGCTGAAAGGTTTTCATTGGATTTCAAGGGTTTTGTAACAAGGTAATCAATGGAGTTTCTCTGTCAAGGGAAATTTTATCACAAGGGTGGATGCAAAAGAGTGAGTGCACGGGAGGCGAGGACATATACGGAATGAAACAGTGTCACTGAAGAGGGAAGGGAAAGAAGTAAACATACCTGACGTGTGCATTAGGTCACAGACGTGTGTTTTAAGACAAGAAAGGCGTGAGGATATCTGGGAAAGAGGCAATAATCAGGGGTATTTTAAAGATGTAGGAGAAAGTGGCCGGGCGCAGACGCTCACGCCTGTAATCCCAGCACTTTGGGAGGCCGAGGCGGGCAGATCACGAAGTCAGGAGATCGAGACCATCCTGGCTAACACGATGAAAAACCGTCTCTACTAAAAATACAAAAAATTAGCCAGGCATGGCGGCGGGCGCCTGTAGTCCCAGCTACTTGGGAGGCTGAGGCAGGAGAATGGTGTGAACCCGGGAGGCGGAGCTTGCAGTGAGCCGAGATCCCACCACTGCACTCCAGCCTGGGCGACAGAGCGAGACTCCATCTCAAAAAAAAAAAAAAAAAAAAATTTGTAGGAGGAAGTATAACTGAATGAATGACTTATCTGAGGATGTAGTGAAGGATGCAATACAGAACACAGGAGCATGAACTAGTATGTTTCTTCCAATTCTTCCATACTGACCACAGGGAAAGAGAAAAGAAACCAATGGATGTGAGTAACTGGATGAGAAAGGGAGGAAGTAAAAGGCGAGACTCTACGGCGAGAATAAAGTAGTACTGGTAGGAGTGGAGTGCCTGAGAAAAAGAGATGTTTTGAAATAGCTGCTTTTGGAGAGAGAGTTGGGCAGCGAAATACAGAAGGATTGCCAGATAGTGTGTAACGCTTGTTGAAAATTTAAGTTGTTGGCTTTAATGGCACCAAATATGCGACTGTACAATGTTTTTCAGCAGGGCTCAAGAGACCAGGTACAAGTGCATGGAAGGGGGTTGAGACTGATTTGTGGTGGGAGTGTTTTTCTGAGCAGGTTTTTATGAAGGCAGCAGAAAACAAGGGAAATCAAGACACTGGGAAGGGTGTAGTTAAGGTTATGAATCAAAGGGTTTAGAAAGAAAGTGAAAGATACAAGGAAAATAATACATAAAAGGGAAATGAAAATGGGAGTGTCAAGAAATTACAAGTCTAATTAAAGTGGAGAAATAGCTGCAATCAGCTGGAAAAATTGGAGAGTGGGATACTGGAGTTTGGAGAGTCTTTTTTTCGGAGATGACAAGGCTTAAGATGTGGCTGTTAATTTAGGTTTCTGGAATGGAGTCAAGTACTCTTATTGTTAAAGGAGGCATGGAACTAGTAACCAATAAAAACATGAAGCAGCATGATTTTCATTATGCCAAAAATATCTTGTCTTAATTAGAGAACAAAATAATATTACTATATTATTTTAAATGTGCTTTTATATAAACACTGCTCTGTTTAAAACTTTTATTAATATTAGAAATAAACACTCCCTAGAAAGGCTACCTAAAACTTATTTTTAAATAACTGAAATTTATTTTTCATGAGGTTAATCAGATTTTTCCTCCTTTGTCTTCTAGTGTAAGAATTAATATTGTGTATTAGTCCATTTTCACACTGCTATAAAGAATACCACCTGAGACTGGGTAATTTATAAAGAAAAAAGGTTTTTGACTCACAGTTCTGCATGGCTGGGGAGGCCTCAGGAAACTTAACAATCATGGCAGAACACAAAGGAGAAGCAAGGCACGTCTTACATGGTGGCAGGTGAGAGAGAAGAGCCATGAAGGGGAAACTTCCAAACACTTTTAAAACCATCAGCTCACAGCCAGGCGCGGTGTCTCATGCCTGTAATCCCAGCACTTTGGGAGGCTGAGGCGGGCGGATCATGAGGTCAGGAGATCGAGACCATTCTGGCTAACATGGTGAAACTCCATCTCTACTAAAAATACAGAAAAATTAGCCAGGTGTGGTGGTGGGCGCCTGTAGTCCCATCTACTCGGGAGGCTGAGGCAGGAGAATGGCGTGAACCCGGGAGGCGGAGCTTGCAGTGAACTGAGATTGCACCACTGCACTCCAGCCTGGGTGACAGAGCGAGACTCCATCTCAAAACAAAAACAAAAACAAAAACAAACAAACAAACAAAAAAACATCGTCTCTTGTGAGAACTTCCTCACTATCATGAGAATAGCACGGGGGAAACTGCCCCCATGATCCAATCACCTCCCACCAGGTCCCTCCCTTGACATGTGGGGATTACAATTCAAGATGAGATTTGGGTGGCAAGAGGCCAAACCATATCAAATTGATAGTCTGGAATAATAACAAATGCCCTGGTTCTGTCTTCTCTCCCTGCATTAAACTTCTGAGGAGAGCCAGAGGTTTTGTACCCTTTAATGTATTACTTTGTCTGAGCAATCTCACTTCTCCTATGAGAAGCTTCTTTTGATGAAAAACTTATAGCCCCTGGGATATCTCTGCTACATATACTTTAGCCAGCAACCCAAGTCAGGCCTGAAAGGCAGCAAACATTGGTCTAAATTGATCTTCATCTATATATGGTCTTATATTTGTTCAATCATTCTGTTTTCACTGACCATATGGCCAAGATGAGAAAAATAGGAAAAATAAATATCAATTTGTGGTTAGTATCATCTAACTTTGAAAATAGTAGTCATAGCAACATGTTATTTCTTAAAAACCACCTCATTGTTTTTATTACCTCATACATAATTTGAAATTGAACACTTATTAAATATTGTTGATTACTATAAGATGAGCCTACAGACAGTAATTACAGTGTTGTCTTCAGGCACAGCTGAGAAAGAGCTATGTATAAACAATAATGTTGCATTTTGTCTCTGTGGTACAAAAATATAATGAGTCAATTACTGTAAACT